>NC_000020.11:9611789-9763304 GCF_000001405.40 Homo sapiens
AGAGAAGAAAGTCTAAGGAGTTACTTGTGCTCCAGAGCTCCCTGGGAATCAGACAGAGGTGGGAATTTACTTGAGACTGTCCATTACTCACTTTTGTCCCTTTCCTGCCTATTTCCTTCATGCAATTACTAGTTTTTCTTGGGAACACTTCCTCCATAAATTCTTTGTGCAGGAACTACCACTGTGATGTCTCTTCTAGGGAGCCGTCCTGAAAAACTCTGTTCTCCTCTTTGCAGGCAAAACAATGTCATTCTGCCACCCCCATGCCCCTGAGGCACAGGGTGTCTGGCCCCCCATGGAAAATGCTGCAGGGATATGTACTGATTAGACACTGAAACAGAGCAGACAGCAGACCCCCAAATCTAATGCTCTCAATGAGGCCCGTCCTCTGGGGCCGCCCTGCCCTCAGCTCCTACACGCGGCTCCAGTTCTCACTGGGCCCTGTCTGTTGTTCCTCCTGGCACACTTAGCGCATTTCCTCTTAATGTCGTCTCCGTCTGGAGAACATATTTCTCAGTGTATTTGGCCGTTCTCACACTGCTATAAAGAAACACCTGAGACTGGGTAATTTATAAAGAAAAGAGGCTTAATTGGTTCAAGGTTCTGCAGGCTGTACAGGAAGCATAAGTCTGGCATCTGCTCAGCTTCTGGGGAGACCTCAGGAAACTTACAATCACAGCAGAAGGCAAAGGAGAAACAGCCATGTCACATGGCCAGAGCAGGAGCAAGAGAGAGAGTGGGGAGGGGCCGCACATTTGTAAACAACCAGATCTTGCAAGAACTCACTCATTATCATGAGGACAGTACCAAGACGGTTGGTGCTAAACCGTTCGTGAGAACTCCACCCCCCCGATCCAATCACCTCCCACCAGGCCCAGGCTCCAACATGAGTGATTACAATGCAACATGAGATTTGAGCAGGTTACAAAGATCCAAACCATATCACCCAGCTACCCCCAGAGGCGCTCCCTCAACCCATTCTCATCTTTGCTGAAATGTTACTTTACCTTCTTGGACCACCCCATTACCCTGTCACTTTTTCCCCTTTTCTCTAGTTTCCTCATGACATTTATCACCACGTGATGTTTATTAGTTTTTACTGTATCTCCCCCCCCATTAGACTATACAATCTATTAAAAATAGACTTTATTTTACCTATTATTCAATCCCTATTACCTAGAACAGACATGATGAAAAATTGTCTACAAAAGTCCAAAGAGCTAATATTTTAGGTTTTGTGGGCCATCAAGTCTCTGTGGCAACTACTTAACTACTCTGCCACAGCACAGAAGTGGCAATAGAAAATGTAGAAATGAATGAGTGTGGTTGTATTCCAATAAAACTTTATTGACAAAAACAGATGGGATGTCCATTTTCCAGTGACACGTAGGAAGCTTGGAGGTTGCCATGCCATCCTAACAATAATTTAAAAACTAAACAAACAGAAAATTTCAAGAATCTTCTTAGTTCTGTCAGAGAAGTAAGGCCACAGGGCAAACTGCTCCTCCAAATTTGGAGAGGCAGACAGGAGGATACAGAAGATCACAGCTTACCAGAGCAGAAACCCACAGGCAGAACTGTCCATGGGAACCAGTACTGGGTAGGAAATCTGAACTGGGATTGAGGAGTTGCTGGGAGCTCAGTGTGCACAGGTCTGGGAGTTAAAATCTCCAGGAGGGCCCAATCTGAGGGGGCACCCACCCTTTTGTGAGTTTTATCTCCAGGAGCTTAACCAGGTTCTCACAGTGACTATCAGAGAAAAATCTGTTCATGCTTCTGTCAGGAGGAGGGAAAAAGAAACCACTTAAAAATATGCCATAGCATTTAGTTCTTAACAAGGCCTTCCCTCAATAGAAATCACTTTATCAGAGCTTAAACTGTTGGTTTTTAATTTTTTTGCAGAGCCTAATGGACCTGGAGGAAAATAAAAACCCAACTCCATTTCCCCCTAGCCACCCTGTCCTAGCTCAGGGAAAAACTGAGAAGCTGAATGAAGCTCACAGTCCAGGGCACAGGCTCAAGACAGACTGGGTCCTAATCACAGGTCTACACACTGAGTCCTAATCACAGGGCTATGGAACCCTTCCCTTCCCCACACCTCACCAAAGGCCTATTTGCCACCGTTTCTGACCCAGTGCATCACATCTGGCTATCAACAAACAATCACAAGGCATAAAAAAAGGTAAAGACCACAGTCTGAAAAGACAGAGCAAATGTCAGAACCAGACTCAGCTATGGCACGGATGTTGGAACTATGAGACTGGGGATTTAAAATAACTATGATTCATGTGCTAAGGGCTCTAATGGATAAAGTGGACAGTAAGCAAGAACAGATGGGCAATGTAAATAGAGAGATCAAAGTTCTAAGAAAGAATAAAAGAGAAATGCGAGAGATCAAAAACACTAACAAATGAAGGATGCTTCTCACGGGCTCATTAGTAGGCTGGGCACAGCTGAGAAAGACTCTCTGAGGCTGAGGATATCTCAATAGAAACATCCAGAACTGAAAAGCAAAGGGAAAAAATGCTGAATGAAAAAGGCATAGAATATCCAAGGACTGTGGGATAATTAGAAAAGGTATATGTTTAATAGGAATACCAAAAGGAGAAGACAGAGAGAAAGGAACAGATGGAAAGTTGGAAACAATAATGACTGAAAATCAGACACCAAACCACAGATCCAGGAAGCTCAGAGAACACCAACCACGATGAATGTCAAAATTAAGCCTAGCCACATTGTTTTCAAACTACAGAAAAATCAGATAAGGAAAAAAATCCCAAAAGATGCCAAAGGTGAAAAACACCTTACTTCCTTAGAGGAACAAAGGTAAGAATTTCATCTGACTTCATGGAAACCATGCAAGCAAGAAGACAGTGGAGTGAAATATTGAATGTGTTGAGAAAAAAACTCCACCAGTCTAGCATTCTATACTCTGTGACATTATCCTCCAAAAGTAAAGGAGACTTAAAGGCTTTCTCAGACAAACAAAAATTCAGGGAATTTGATGCTAGCAGATCTGCCTTGTTAAATGTTCAAAGAAGTTATTCAAGGCAATAAAAATTGTTATAGGTCAGAAGGTCATATCTACATAACAAAAGAAAGAACATCAGAGAAGAAATAAGTGAAGGTAAAATGAAATTTTTAACTTGTTACTCTTAATCTAACAGATCAATTTGTTCAAAATTATTGTAGCCACAATGTATTAACATATATACAAATGTGCTACCGAGCCATGAAAAGATATGAAGGAAACAAATGCATATTACTAAGTAAAAGAAGCCAATCTGAGAAAAGCTATGTAATATATAATTCCAACCACAGGACTCACTGGAACAGGTAAAACTAAGGTGGCAATAAAAGGATTAGTGGTTGTCCGGGGTTAGGGTGTGGGAGGGATGAACAGGTAGAGCACAGAGGATTTTTTAGGGCAGCGATTCTTTATGATATGACAATGGTAGATACAGCTCAGACACTTGTCAAAACCCATAGAATGTGCAAATGAAAAGTGAACCCTGATGTGAACTATGGACTTTGAGTGATAATGACGTGTCCATGGAGGTTCTTTGACTGCAACAAACATGCCACTTTGGTAGAGAATGTCGATCAAGGGGGAGGCTGTGCATGTGTAGGGGCAGGGGGCATATGGAAATCTCTGTACTTTCCACTTAATTTTGCAGTGAACCTAAAACTGCTCTAAAAAGCAAAGTCTATTAAAGAAAATTCACAATAACCTAAAACAGATGTAGGCTAGATTTGGCCAGAGGGCTACAGTTTGTCGAATCTTGACTTAGAATAAGTCCTTCGTTGAAGAAGTAAAAACTATAACAAAAACCACCAACCAAAGTGTGTTCCAGTTACTGCTGCTGCATAATAAATCACCCCCAAACAACTCTTTGATTTTGCATAATCGTGTGGGTCAGGAATTTTGGAAGGGCATCTGCTGGGCAGTTGTCGATCACTGTAGTCAGATATTGGCTGGGGCTGCAGCCACCTGAGGGCACAAGGGCCAGACATCCATGATGCTCACTCCCGTGGCCTGGCAGCGGATGGTGACTCTTGTCTGGGGGCACAGCTAGGCAGTCTGCTGGAGCACCACATGAGGCCTCTCCAGCATGGAGTTTTCTCAATGCTGCATGCTGCCCCCACAGCAAGCAACCCAAGAAAACCGGTGAAAGCTACATGGCCTTTCCTTTTCTAGTGCTGAGAAGCCTCAGAGTAACTTCTTCCCCATTCTTCTGGTTACAAGAGAATCAGGAGCCAGTCCCACGTCAAGGGGAGGGAAGGTAGACACCACCTCTGATGGGAAGCATGTCAAAGACACTGTGGCTAATTTTTAAAATAAAGCAATGTTGAAACTACACTCCATTGTACTTCTACCTGGAAGCAGGGGATGGGTAGAAATGAAATTAATATTTATCACTATGAACCATGCATGATGTCAAATACAGTACACATGTTAGCCCACAACAACTTCCTGAATTAAAAAGGGCAGTTCCTATATTACAGATGAGGAACTGAAAGCACAGAGAGTTTCAGGTGCTCCTCAAATTACGCCAGTAGCGAGTAGCAGATTCTAATGTCAACGCCAGATGTGCCCAATGTTCATCCTTCCAGACTATTTTATGCTGCTGGAAACACGGCAAAGACAAGTAGCATGTTGGGAAGGGAATCAGCGTTCTCTTCGGCTAAAGCCTTTGTGTTCTCTATGGTAGGGTTTCTCAAACTTTAACACATATATACATCCCCCGGGCATCTTGCGAAAATAGATTCTCATCCTTCAGGGCTGGGCTGGGGACTGAGATTCCACATCTAACAAGCTCCCAGGGGATGCTGCTGCTGCTAGCCTGTGGCTTGCACTGTGGGATGTGGGGCTCTATGGCACAGCAGGGTGATAATACACTGGGGTGCAGTGCCCAGACAAGGCCCAGAGAGCCAAGCAAAGCATGCGTCCTTCCTTAGGGGCCTGATAACCTTCCCTATTCTGGGGGCAGTGAGAGTCTAAGGATAGAAGTCCAGGGGTGGGTAGTGGGTGGAATGTGGTTGAATTCCTTGGCAGTCTGTCCCACAATGCCAGTAGGCATAGGAAGAAGTTAGAAATTGCCATTTTCTTCTGGGAAAATCTTTTTGTTTATTCTTTCACTTTGGTTTTTCTGGAGTTGTACAAAAATACGGATAATTGCAAAAAGCTGGACTATTGCAATTGTGTGTGATTCAGACAGAATAAGCCTGAGAGGCATAACTGAGTCCAGAAAAATGCCAAGTCATAAATCAAAAGTGAGATCAAACTAATTATTCCAAGTGAGTCGATGGCACAACACTTGTTTATCTCAATACATAATCGGCTTCACTAATTAAAATGCAAATTCGATTGCATTTATAACTGGTAACCCTGCCAAGTTAAAGCTTCAATACATCTGATGTGTGAGCTGTACGAACTTTTCAGGGACACTAGGTGGCGCCCGTGTACTTTTCTTGAGAAAGCCAGGCTGCTTTAACCATTTAAAATTTCAATCAGTGGAAAGAAACGAGTTAGCCCAGTGGTTCTCAAAGACATTGAGTCAAAACTCTGGGGATTGGGCCCCAGATCTGTACGGTAAGTAATTCTTCCCAGACGATTTTATTTTTATACCAGTTGGTTAATGTAATGACATTGGAAACAGCTAGCACAGTTAAGCGCTTAATTGCTTAATTGTAATATGATAAAACTGAGGCTGAGAGACTTACTCAATTTGCAGGGATGAGACCCAAGAATCCCAATCCTTTTTTTTTTTTTTTTTTTTTTTTGAAATGGAGTCTCGCTCTGTCACCCAGGCTGGAGTGCAGTGGTGCGATCTCGGCTCACTGCAAGCTCCACCTCTTAGGTTCGCGCCATTCTTCCGCCTCAGCCTCCCGAGTAGCTGGGACTACAGGCGCCCACCACCACGGCCGGCTGATTTTTTGTATTTTTAGTAGAGACGGGGTTTCACCGTGTTAGCCAGGATGGTCTCGATCTCCTGACCTCGTGATCCACCCGCCTCGGCCTCCCAAAGTGCTAGGATTACAGGCGTGAGCCACGACGCCCGGCAAGAATCCCAATTCTTATCTGAACAGCTCTTCTACCAAAGCACGAAAAATAAAAAAAGTGGAAGTTTACATGAGGTTTGTTGTCAAAGCATCAAAGATACCTTTAAGCCTCTAAATTGTGTCCTGAAATTGAAGATACATCTCAGAAGAAAAGGTCGAACCTATCAAAAGAAACGCTACAACGAATTAACATTCAGTGGAGGTAATATTAGTATAAGGAAAAATAAACATTATGTAAGCATGTGACAAATAGGCTTGTAATGTGGCTCTCACACAACTAGATGACAGCATACTCCAAGGAACATACAGCGCTGGGCGACACTATCAAGGGAGAAGGAACAGCTCTAGGAAGTGCCAGAACATACAGTAAATACTACATAACTCCAAAGAGTCAGGTACCCCCCCAAGTTTTAACCCCTCTAAATTATAATCAAATTGATAAAACATAGCTCCACTCCATGTGGCTACAGAGTTTTCTGTTAAGATCCCCTGCCCAGTGTTATTGCTGAGACATATGTTGATACACAGGACAGACTATTACGGCCTGGAACTTTTTTTTTTTTTTTTTTTTTGAGACAGAGTCTCGCTCTGTCACCCAGGCTGGAGTGTAATGGCACAATCTTGGCTCACTGCAACCTCTGCTTCCCGAGTTCAAGTAATTTTCCTGCCACAGCCTCCCGAGTAGCTGAGATTGCAGGCATGTGCCACCAGGCCCAGCTAATTTTTTTTTTTTTGTATTTTTAGTAGAGATGGGGTTTCACCATGTTGTCCAGGCTGGTCTTGAACTCCTGACCTCGTGATCCACCCACCTTGGCCTCCCAAAGTGCTGGGATTACAGGCGTGAGCCACTGCGCCCGGCTGGAACTTATTTTTAATTCAATCATCAAATCTTTATTGAGCAGGGTGACAGGTACAGTTCTATAAGTACAAGCAACTTAAGGAAAAGCTGAGATGAATCGATATTTTCATAACATATCATATGTTTCAGGACTGGAGGTTTTAAGAGGAAGAAAGGAAGGTAGAAAGTGGCTTCTCTCAGATTCTTTTCTCTCTCTTTCTTTCGTTTTTTTTTTTTTTTTTTTTTTTTTTTTTTTTTTAATCTCACTGTTGCCCAGGCTGGAGTGCAGTGATGGGATCATGGCTCACGGAAGCCTTGACCTCTTTGGCTCAAGTGATCTTCCCACCTCAGCCTCCTGAGTAGCTGGGACTACAGGTGTGTACCACCACAACTAGATAATTTTTGTATTTTTAGTAGAAACAGGGTTTCGCCTTGTTGCCCAGCCTGGTCTGGAACTCCTGGGTTCAAATGATCTGCCTGCCTCAGCCTCCCAAAGTGCTGGGATTACAAGTGTGAGCCACTGTGCCTGGCCAGATCCTATTGTTTACTGTTGTTTTACTTTAGGTAGACCAGAGAAAATAGAAACAAAGAAAGTTTGGAAGAAAAAAGCCATGACTGCTTTTGATCTCAGGAAACTTAGCTATTATCTAGGACATGGCAAGATAAAACTGAAAAACAATTCTATTCCTTCCACGCTTCTCTTTGAAGGAGACACACTTGGCAACCCTGGCCACACTTCTCTTACCCCTTTTCACTGCCCAATACTCTCATTTCTCAGACACCAAATCCCTAACAAACTTCTCAACTCCCAGTTCTTCCTGGCTTTTTCTCCTGCCCTGTCTGCTGTGTTCAGGTCCCTTTTAAGGGTGCCGTTGGATAAATATTTGAACATTCCTAAAGATGAGGAGCTCGCCTTTCCAAGGCAGCCCCTTGCATTGCTGGATAACACATTTCCAAGTCTTGCCCTATTGAGGTAAAGTACTGGAGTCTCTCCGTGCTGCCTTCACTTACCTCTTCCTATTTTTCCTTCCAGGGGATTCCTAGAGGTTATTAATTCCCCTGCTGTGGGACAGTCATTCAATGTTTGAAGAAAGTAATTGTTTACTTCCCTCCCTTGATTCTTTGACAGAAGATCACCAGGGCTCTCAACCAATCATCAGTGCTCTCAACCAATCATCAGTGCTCTCAGACAATCATCAGTGCTCTCAGCCAATCATTAGTGCTCTCAGCCAATCATCAGTACTCTCAGCCAATCATCAGATCACCTGAATTCTAGATTTTCCATCATCTCAGCCACCTTTTTTCACATGCAACTTGTTAAACGTTGTCCAAGGATGAGATGGAATGAAATGGACACCTTTAGTGTACAGATAACATGGACGGAAGTTCTGTTGTAACAAGGTGGGTACAGAAAGTGAGGGCAGAAATATGAATCAGCAACACTGCCCTCCACCACAGCCTTTATTTGCCCATTCACAACACTCTGTAATTAGAGCTAGATCACATGGACAATTATTTCCCCTTTGGAGTAAACATTCCTAGAAGGAAGGACTCATCCCTGATTTATTCAATGTTGTGTCCTCAGCACTGGGCTTGGTATTTGGCTGGCATTTGTTGAAACAAAGATCCTAAAAGGGAACAATGAAAATTTGAATTCAGGTCTCTTCAGAAGGATTGCGGAAAGCAGGAGGAGGATTCTGGGACCATCATGACCTAAACAATTCTCCCTCTCCTCCATGTTCAACTCCAGGGTGTCCACTTCTTTTGACCACATGGCGTCTGGGGCTGATGGGCAGTTGGACCAGCAAGGCTTGGGTGCTGAGGACATCTCAACAGAGAGAGCTTGTGGGCTTGCTTCCACCTGGATGGGGAAGAGGTTGCGCTCTAGCTGCTCATGGGTGGACAGCAGGCTCAGGTCCTGGGAAGAACATGGCTCACAGTGATATGGGGACCCAAGACCGTGAACTATGGCACCATGGATTTCCCAGCTCTGGAGATGTGGTGTTTAAAAGCTATACAGAGTCTCTGCCCTGGAGGTTGGGAGAGTCTGAGAGATGGTGGAGGAAGAGAGGGCTTCCTCCGTGCATCTCAATGGGGAATTGACAGTCTGCCTGCATGACGCCATCAGTCCCCAGGTGTAGTTTCCATTTTGTCTTCCTCTAATCATGGGACTACTACCACACAGAGAAAGAAAATAGCCAGAAAAAATATATATATATTAATATATTGTAACCAAAGGTATCCAGCAGCCAGAGAAAGAGAGAGAGAAAGAGAGAGAGAGAGAGAGAGAGAGAGAACAATGGCTCAGAACAGATTAAACTCTTACCCAACAAAACAGAGCTACCGGAAGAGACAGATGACAACTTGAATGTAAAAAGCAACAAGAGCATCTCTGTTGATTCAAGCACGACACAAAAGAGAGTGTCTGGAAATAGGCAATTCAAAGCATTGATTGAAGGAGAAGATGGTCACTGCTGAGACATGAGGTTTAGACTGACAAGTAGAAGAGATGTCTCAAAACCTATGCAAAAATATAAAGAGAGGAAAGTCATAGGGGAAAAAGAGACTTAACATGCAAAATAAGGGAGTGTCAGAAGAATAAAAAGGAACAGATGGCGGGCAGAATTTAACAAATAATAGATGATAATTTCCTTGAGCTAAGGACCTGAATAGACAGCTTAAAAAAATGTCATTAAGTTCAGGGCAGGACTGATTAAAAAAAAAAAAAAAAAAGACACACCTAGGCATATCCTGAAAAATTTTTCACTCTTAGAATAAAAAAAGTCTCTTACATATTTCCAGGAAAGAGAGAATATTAATGGGCTGATTTGAAAAAAAAAAAAAAAAATACTTATGTAGGCATATCCTAGAAAATTCCTTAATTCTAAGAATGAAAAAAACTCTTACATACTTCCAAGAAAGAATGAGAATACCAATGGGCTTATTATCTAAAAACCTGAAGTTTAAATAAGTACAGTCCTGCAGTTGACTTAGGTCTGAGTGTGGTGGCTGACGGGCAATGGCAGGCCACTCCTCCTGAGAACAGCCCACAGTTATCCAGAGAGTGCTCACAGCCTCATGCAGCGGGGCCTGCGGTGTTATGCCTTTCTTTGGGGATGGTCTCAGCTAATGACTTATTGAAAAATGGTAATAAAAGTCAGAATTGCTATCTCCAGGTGAGACAACCCCATGGTGCCATTGATACTCCATGGTCTCAGGCTCAGGCTAGACTGGAACTGAAACCACAGCTCTGTCCATAATATTCTTCAGCACTCTCCTGCCTACCTTATTCTGTCACGGGTGCCTCCTGAGACATCTCCCTCAGTAAGTCACTTGCAGAAGAATCCCCATCTGAGGTTCTGCTTCTAGCAAGCCCAGCCTGAAAGGAAAGGACTGGGAAACCTATACTCAACCACGATATAATTCACTCATTAGCAAAACCAAAACCAAATATATACGTGATTATATGTTAGATTTAAGAAAGCAAAACATGATCATATATTACAGTTATCTCTAACCATTTTGAGGTAATGCTAGGCAAGACTTTATCCAAATAACAGATGATCTAGATCTTCCCTTTCAATATGGTACCCACTAGACATATGTGACTATTTAAATTAAAATTAATTAAAATAAAATCAAATCAAAAATTCAATTCTGAGTCATCCTCAACATATTTCCAGAGCTCCATATCTCCATGTATCTGGTAGGTACCCTAGTGGACATTTACATGATCACAGAAAGTTCTACGGAATAGTGCTAATCTAGACATTGACCTCAAGATGAAGTAAACATGAGGAGGAGGGGGAAACTTGTTAATTCAGTTAATTCAGGGGTGTCCAACCCGCGGGTCATGGACCCATACCCGGAGTGTCTGTTGACTGTTGGGAAGCAGGGAGCACAGCAGGAGGTGAGTGGTGGGCCGGTGAGCATTACCAGCTGAGCTCTGCCTCTTGTCAGATCAGCAGCGACATTATATTCTCATAGGGTTGCAAACCCTATGGTGAACCAAGCATGTGAGGGATCTAGGTTGTGTGCTCCTTATGAGAATCTAATGCCTGATCATTTGAGATGGAACACTTCCATCCTGAAACCATCCGCACCCCTGTCTGTGGAAAAACTGTCTTCCACAAAACCAGTCCCTGGTGCCAAAAAGGTTGGGGACTGCTGTGTTAAGCAACACACCTGGTGTGTGCTCAGTCTGTATCTCTCTCTCTGTTTCTCTCTCTCTTTATTGAATTAATTCTGAATGGATAAGTAAGACTGTCTAGGAATGATGTGTTATAAAATTGCTAAATAAGGGCTCTTAAAACACAATATGCAGAAAATTCTAATAATAATTTAGTGCTGTATGTATAAAATGAGTCCATCAACATCTAGGAGTTAGGGAAATAAAAGTATTTCAAAGTCTCTGTGTCACAAGGAGTGGAGAAAGGGAAGAAGAGGAATGGAAGACATTTTTCTAATTGTCTCATCTTATTGGAATCAGAAATAGGGAGGACATATTGCATTTTGTGGGGAGAGATACAGTTAATATTATTGGGGGAGTGAGTTGGGAGTTTGTTGAAAAATATAGTAAAAAGGGAAGGTATCTGATCACAACAGCACAGAAAGTGGAGAATCCATTAGTGGAATGGAACAGTGGAAACTCCAAGTTAATAAAGGAGAGGAACAGAATGAAAAGCAACATGATCAAATCAGCAAGAAATAAGGAAGAGGAGAAAATAAAAATGTACATTAAATAAAGCATTAAGTAATAGGGAAGAAATGAAATCAAGTAGATGAGTTATGATACTAAATATAAATGTACCAAATTATTGTACCAAATTCCAATAAATGTCAGACTGAATAAAGACAAAACAACATAAAACTAAACAACTATATGCTGTTTATAAGACAATGCTTACAGATACCCAAATAAAAGTACAGTATTAGACTAAGATAGGTACAAACAAAGAGAAATCAGGTTTGAAAGTATAAGACAAGGGGGCATTTAAAGTTAAATGCATTAAAGAAACTCTTAGTAATGCAAGAATTCTCGCAAAACAACAGGAAAGTTGACAAAGGATTTGAATATGCAATTCACCAAATGAATGGTCCAACAGTTAACAAGATATGAAGAGATGCTCAAACACAATAGTGAAAAGAGAGGAAATAAAAACCACAATGAAATCCTCCTTAGACCTGCAAATATTCAGTTTATAATACCAGGGCATGGTGAGAATGTAAGGTGTGCAACCTTGTGCTTTACTGGTGGGGAGTACACTGGTACCGTCATTCTGGAGAGCCATCTGTCAGTACTTACTAAATTCAATGGTACATACGCTTTATGATCCAACAATCCCACTTTAGGGTCATGGTATGTCTTGTAGTCAAGACAATTTTAACCCAATGCTGAATATGAGGTCCAATATTAGACAATAAAATATTGTAAGAAAAACATAGGAAAATCACAATTCTAGAGAAAGACTTAAACATACTTATCTCAAAATTTGGCAGAAAGAGTTTTTGCTATAAAAATAAGTAAGGCATAGGAGAACTGTATCAGAAAATGCAACTTTTGTCCAGTCCTATAGAAATTTTAGCCTGTCTTGGTTATCAATATCTCAGTCACTGACATACTCAGTTTCACATCTCAGCAAGCACTGACATCATGCCTAGCCCATGACGGGTATTCAATAATGCTGAACAAATTGAATGTTGAATACCTAAAAAAGGTATGGATATGGTGAATACCTTAGAAAAGAGTAGAATTTGTACACTTGGAAGGTACTTCTAGAAAGATTTTTATGCCATGTCCAGGATGGGGTAGAAATATTATAAAGGTAACAGAATTTCTTCCAACTTATCTGTTTTCTTAAAATTAAGGTTCATGTTTTCTCCTTACCTCTCTGTCTTATAATGTGCTAGTGTTCCCATTATACCCTTGACAAGTCACAGCGATCTCAAACACAGCTCTGTGCTTTGTGGAAAGGCCCTGGCTCTGGAGTCTCCTGAGCTGGGTGGAGCACGCCTCAGCTCTGCTATTTGAGAGTTGTGTGACTGTTGGTGAGTCCTTTGGGTTCTCTGAGCCTCAGATCACCCAGTCTGTAAAAGAAGGATAATACCTACCTCACAGGGGCTTAGATGGGGTAATGTGTGTTCAAATATGTTACTAACTATGAGCCCCAGTCCTACATCCCAAAGTGAGTTCGCATCTCACAGAAACAAACAAACAAATTATGAATCTGTTATAAGCAATTAAGTAAGGATTCTTCACATTGGTTTGTGGGCAACAGAACTTTATAACTGGGCATAAAATAGATGCGGGCCATTTACATCTACAAGTAGCCATTCATGAAGGTTAAAAAAGTATTATTACTACCACTACCACCACTGCCACCACCACATCCACCAGCCATCTCCACTGGCATCACTGTCTCCACAGCTTCCACCACCACCACTTCCACCACCTTTAACCACCTCCATCACCTCCAAACCACTTCCTTCTCCACCATCAATGACCTCCACCACCTTCATAAGCTCTAGCTTCAACACCATCTCCTTATATTTGATAACTCCTTCATCCTGATGTTCTCACTCTCTGCCCGGACACCCTCTCATTTGACTTGATTCATGCTAGTTTAAAGCTAATGGAAGAATAATCCATTGAGGATCTACCCTTAATTGAAGAGCTAACTTCAAATATGAGCCACTTTCTACAACGCTGTGCCAAGAAGCTATGCGCCATGCTGGGTAGTCCCCTCACATCTTCCCTTGCTACACCACGCCCATGGATGGTGTAGGGCATAGTGCTGTGCACGGGTTTTTGGTGTGAAGTTATCAAAAGTAAGACTTTTTTGAATTTCACAATGATTTTTATTTGTCTTCATATTTTTTTCTTTTCTTTTTCTTACGGAGAAGGTCTTGCTATGTTTCTCAGGCTAGAGTACAGTGGCTATTCACAGGCACCATCCTAGCTCACTGCAGCCTTGAACTCCTGAGCTCAAATGATCCTCCTGCCTCAGACTCCCCAGTAGCTGGAACTACAGGTGCATGCCACTGTGCCTGGCTCTGTCTTCATTCCTTCCCTGTGTTCTCCTAGCTTTGCTGGTTGCTGACAATTTATAGGCTTGTCAATTCCTTGGCTTTATTTTTATTCATTAACTTGAAAATCTGAAGCGCAGCTGATGGGTTAAAAAATAGTTTCCTGTTTTAGGCTCACTGTTTCCAAAATCAAATCAGTGACAAAACCATGAAGATCATAGGATTTGGAAGGTGAAAAATCATAGCATTCAGGACTGCAGGTGCCACCAGCTAATTGGGCTCACTGGGCTCTGAAACTGCAAGGTAAGAATATAAATAGGCCAAATAACTATGGGTAGTAATTGTGGATTCAAAGACTCGACCTTTACATAAAACAATGGAGTTTCTTACCCGTTTGAAGACAATGAAATTATCAATAAAAATAAACTAACAATCAACATAAATTTCCAACAATAAGAGGGTTTTAAAATTATGGCACATCTGTAGAATTCTAATGTGGACACTTAAAATAATATTGCAAATCCAAAACAAACAAAAACAGAAAAAGAAAAAAAAGAAAAATAATAAAAATAATCTTGCTGTCAAAAGGAAACTAAGTTCATAGTTTCCAAACCATATGCCAAGGTACCCCAGGGAACTAACTGCAGCGAACTTACAATGCTGTGGCAGGCTATTTTAAAATTTTGAAGGCAACAACGATATTTAACTTGTGAGACACCTTCTAAATTACTAGTGCATCTTTCAACATTAGATTGCACTACATGTATTTTGATGACATCAAATGTAAAGCAGTGTATCTGGCAGTTGCCATGACCAAAAACAAACAAACAAAAAGTCCTGTGTGAAAATCAATGTGGAACAGGAAATGAGGGTGAGGGTGTGGTATCCAACCTGGTTCCAAGGTTGGAGAAGTGAGGCGGTGTCCAGCAGGCCTGCACATTTCACCAGTGTTTCAGAATGAAATATAAGTATTTTGCAAATTTCAATTTACATGTATTTGTTGTTATGCCATACTTACAGTTTGGACTGAATTACCTAATAAATGGAATGGCTTTTATTTTTATTTATTTTTTTTTCTAGGAGGTGCTGTGACAAGTTACTGAGAACCAAGAAACTTTGGTAACCCCTGAAATTTGGTGAAAAAATGAAATCAAAACTGTGTAAATACAGTCAACAATCTCACCCTTTCGTGTATGTGTACGCACATGTGTCTGTGTTAAAATGGTGTAAAAAATACACCAAAATTCAAAATTCAAAAAAAAGACAGGTCTTTATTTTTTTCTCCAGTTTTCTAATTTTGCTAAGCTGCCTATGATGAATACTCAGTGCTCTCAAGTGGTAAAAACATAAAAATGAAAGGTTTTTAGAAATAACTCTCAAAGGAAGCACATTTTCTTCTATAGATAAAAATATCTGCTAAACATACCACAGGGTTTCATTTCTAGAGAAGGTTTATCACATTCAGCTGTTTCTCCAGCTTTCTGCTCTAAGCTAAGTGGGATCTGGCTTTAGGACATGGAGATTTGACGAAAGCTATTTCCTCATGCACCTCTCCTTAGTGTTGTTTAAAAAGTGCTCCTTTTCCCCACCCCTACAGACTTCAGAAAGTGAACTTGGCTTGGGGTTTCCAGCCAATGAGGTTTCCAGCCTCACAGCTCACATGTCCTGCAAAGATGCTGCTGACCCATGAGGCGGGAGGTGAGGGCTGCTAATGTCAGATGCTGCTGCAAGTAGTCATTGCTCTGCCTCCTGCTTCATGGTAGGAGCAATGGCCTGCAGCACTGCAGCAGCCTGCAGGTTTCAGGTGAAAGATACCACTGGAAGCCTGCCCTTAGAAACCTCACACTTGAATGCACCCACAAGTGAAAGAGACCTGCGGTATTTTTCCATTCAATGTTTTTTCTTTTCCTTTTCTTTTCTTTTTTTTTTAAATGGAGTCTCACTCTGTCACTCAGGCTGGAGTGCAGTGGCACGATCTCTGCTTACTGCAACCTCCGCCTCCTGGGTTCAAGTGATTCTCCTGCCTCAGCCTCCCGAGTAGCTGGGATTACAGGTGCCCGCCACCACACCAGGCTAATTTTTGTAAATTTAGTAGAGACAGGGTTTTACCATGTTGGCCAGGCTGGTCTCGAACTCCTGACCTCAAGTGATCCTCCTGCCTCTGCCTCCCAAAGTGCTGGGATTATAGGCATGAGCCATTGCGCCTGGCCTTTCCATTCAAATTTATAAGAACTCTGAGAACTCACACTTGTACGGTTTAGAGAGTTACATATAAATTATTCCAAATGGTATTCCTAAAATGATGAAGACATACATGTATAATTTTTGTTTTATTAATTGAGAGAGAAAATCTCAAAATATTGTTCTCTTCTTAAAAAAGGGAATTTTCATTATACTTTGTACATGTGACCATTTGGTTTGATTCATTTTTTATTTCTTGACTGCTAATGTTTTAATGTATTAAGCTATTCAATCCTTACTCCAGCCCTATGAGGTAGTACTGTTATATCCACTTCTAACAGATGAGGAAACAGAAGCTCACAGAGGTTAAGTAACTTGCACTAGGTCATATAGCTGGAATATGAAGAATCAAGATTTTTTTATTTATCTTGGATGGTTTGGCTCCAGAGGGCTCTTAAGCAATACATTGTCACTGCCTCTTTGTAAAGTTACTATTTGTTTACATAGGGATATTCATTCATTAGGTATGAATATAAGACTATACTCTTCCATAAAATCCAAAGTTACATCTCCAAATTTTGTAGGAAGTATAGTCATTTTGTTCTCAAAGCTTTCATAACAAAATATTTATACTTCTGTTATAACATTATGTTTTCATTTGTCTTTACAATTCTTTCTCCCTCACTAGACTGTGCACTCTGTGAAGGTGAAGACCAAATACTGTTGTTTTTTCTCTCAGAACATAGTAGGTGCACAATAAACATCTGTTAAGGAAATGAAAGCTGATATTATACTGATAGCAGTTGCCACCGGTGCTGTGCCTTTATCCCCTCAGTCCACCCCAGAGGCCACCTGCAGAAATTTCCTATCCATGCTGAAGTTTCCCTGAGTCTCTCTACCACAAGGTGTCCTCTGGCTGTTGGGGAATGCATGGCCAAGTGTGGAGTTGCCAGGAAATTAACTCCTGGGAGCAACGCACAACCAAGAAAGCTTGGAGTTGGTGGGTAGATGTCCCAACTTCCTTGCTCCTTGCTGGGCTACTTGTGAGGTGTGCTCCATGTGATCTCAGAGCATCCCTGGCACAACTGAGTCGGCTTGCCTATGGGGTTGCCTGTTCATCAACAAACCAGGCTTCTTCTCCTTTCTGGCCTCAGTACCCCATTCCCTCAGAACTGTAAGGAAATGAATTTTGCGAAGTGGATTCTTGCCCTGTCAAGCCTCTGGATGGGAAGGCAGTGGGGAATGTAGCCCAGCTGACACCTGAATTTCAGCCTCTGAGACCTGAGGAGTCAGTGAAGCTGTGCCAGACTCCTGACCCATAGAAACTGCAAGGATACTAACAAATGTGTGTTGTTTTCAGCTGTTATATTTATGGTAATTTGTTACATAGCAATAGAAAACTAGTATAGCTTTTGATACCTGGAAGTGGGGAACTGCTATAGCAAATACCTAAAAACATGAGTATTAGTTTGCTTGGGCTGCTATAACAAAATAACACAGACTGGGGTGGCTGCCTTCTTACCTGTATCCTCACATAGCCTTTTCTCTGGGTGGGCACCTCTGGTGTCTCTTCCTCCTCCTTTTTTTTTTTGAAATATTTAAAAAATACACACAGGGTCTTGCTATGTTGTTCTTGAACTGGTCTTGAACTCCTGGACTCAAGTGATCCTCCTGCCTTGGCCTCTCAAAGCGCTGGGATTACAGGTGTGAGCCACCATGACCGAGCTCTTCCTTTCTTTTATAAAGGCACCAGCCCTATTAGATTAGGGTCCTACCCTTGTGACCTCACATAGCCTTAATTACTTCTTAAAGTCCATATCTTTAAACAATGTCACATTGGGGATTAGCATCTCAATGTATAAAGTTTGGGAGGGACACAGTTCAATCCATAACAATGTGGAAGGGGTTTTGTAACCAGGTGGGTGAAGGCTGGGGGAATTTTGAGGAACATGGTAGAAAAAGCCTAAATGACATGAACAGACTCAGAGTAGAAAACTGGACATTGAGGATGCTGATGGTGAAGGCTCAGAAGTGAGGAACACTAATCGGAAACTGAAGGAAGGAGAAGGGAGAATCTTTTGTAATGTGAAGTTCGGTGAAATAGTCTCCCGAGGTCGTGTGGAAAGCAGAATTGAAAGTGATACTTGGCTGTATAAAGATTTCCAAGAAAAGTGTTGAAGGAACCCTCTGGTTTCTTCTTTCTGCTTGTAGTAAAATGTGTGAGGAAAGAGGAAGATTGGGAGGACAATTTTTCTCAAAAAACAGAATCAGAATCTGATGATGTAAAAAATTCCGATGATCTCTGGATGGCACAGATGCTAAAATGAAGAGGTTCACTCTCAGGAAAGCATGCACTAGGGAAAAGTCTGAGTGAGACTGTAGAGCTCTTTGTTAGAAACTTAGAAAGATCAAAAGACAAAACTATGCAGTTACACGAAGGGGTCTTTTAAGAAATTAAAGGTCTGCCCTACAGATCTTCTCAATCAAGCCAGAAAACCTCAAGGAAGCATATGGGCATCGTCCCTCAGTCATCTCAGAAGGAGGCCAAGGAACAGGAAGGCTTATCTTTAAAATATCTGTGGATGTGGCATCACCTAATGGAGTGAACTGCAGTGAATCCACACAAACTCTACAAAGTTCTTAAGGAATTGTTTCATCAGGAATACTGGCCACTTGGCCTGAAAGGGACAAAGAGAGTATGAAATAAAGGAGGCTTTCAGACCCTTCCAATTCTACTAGCAGTGGAAAACATGCTGATAAAACTACTCAGGATGCAAACATGTGCTGCCTTTCATGAAAAGGAAGGGCAGAACCAAGAACCCTGAGGGAGGAGCCTAAGCCACAGAGGGCCATTCCCATGCCTTGAAATGTAATCAGGGAACTCCTAACATTTGCCTGGCTGGATTTCAGAAGAGTCACGGACCAGTAATTCCCTTTTTCCTTCCACTCACTTGCCCTCACCCTGCCCCCATTTTGAATCAGAATTTTTACACCGGTTATCCTGTGCTGTCCCACCATTACATGTTGGACAGGCTGGGGGCATATAATTTGTCTCTTTGGCTTCACAGGTCCATGGATGGAAAGGAATTGTGCCCCAACAGCTGTATTTAATAGATTACTCCCAAGCACTCCATCAATACCTAATCACAATTTAGATGATGAGAGTTTGGACTTTGAGATGATGCTGCAATGAGATGAGACTTTGGGATCTTGGGCTGGGATGAATGTATTTTGCATGTGGGAGTGACATTGGGAACGAGGTAGACAGACCCTAGGGTGACCCCTCAATGATTCCCACCTCCTGGTGATCATGCCTTTGATTATCCCCTCTCCATGAGTGTAGGCAGGATCTGTGGCTTGCTTCTAACCAATAGAATATGGTAAAGGTAAGAGGCTGTCCCTTCTGTGTCGTTACATGTCAAAGGTGATGGAATGTCACTCTCATGGTTAACTTACATTATATGGCAACACTGATGGGATATCACTTCTGTGAGTACATTATTATATATATAGTCCAAGCAGACTAGCTCTTGCTTTCCTGCTAGCCTTGAAGAAGCAAGCTGTCACGCATTCTGCAGCTGCAAAGAAAAGAATTCTGCCCACAGAATTCTGACTAAATAAGCTTGGAAGTGGATTCTTCCCCATTTGAGCCTCCAGATGGGAATGAAGCCCAGCTGGCCCCCTAATTGCAGCCTTGTGAAACCTTGAGCAAGAAGATCCTGTTAAGCCATGCCTAGACTCTGAACTCAGAGAAACTGTGATAATAAATATGTGTTCTTTGAAGCCATTAACTTAGTGGTAATTGTCATGCAGTAATAGAAAGCTGATATGAAGGTTCTCAACAGGTGATGGATTCAGTGATTCTAGCAAACACTTAGACAGGTACCATCTTAGGCAGCCATTAACCTTACAGGTAACAGTAGTAGCATCCAATCAGATAGTGATGTGCTGCTTGGAAATGATTTTAAAGTGATAGATTTATCATCAGTATAAAGTTGACAGCATAATGCTTCCACTTAAAATTACACAATAAAACACTAAAAAGGATAGGATTTGATAGTTCCACTAAAGCAGCCTCTAGCTGCCATCTTAGTGTCCCAATTTCTATAAGATGCTAAATGAGAGATAAAATTAAATCTTTCAAGTTCCAAGCATGAGTGGGAGTCACAGAGAGCCACATGCCTTTCTTCTTTTGATTTAGAAGGATTATTTTCAGTTAGGTCACCACTGCTGGGAGAGAAGAGCTGGGGAAAAGAAGATGTCCCCTAGAATATCATTTCACATTATATAGAATTTCCCAGCTATCAAAGCACAGCTGTCCTTATTTGATGAGTTCAGCTTTCAGGAGTTCAGAGAGGGCCACTCTATGGGAAACCAACACAGTTCTGGAGACAGGCTTGTGATCTGGGGGGTATGCTGTTTGACCTAAAATATGATGGGCTCAGGGAGCATCCAGGCCATAGTGGAGAAGGAATGAGTGGCACACGTTTGAAAGCTCACTCATTTGCTTCTCGTTGCATGATTTCATTGACATTTCCTATTTAAATATTCTGCCTAACTCACTTGAGAAGACTGCGTGGATTACATGCATAATGAAAGACTCTGCAAAGGGCTCTGAGTACTCTACAACTAAAAAATAAAGTCATATGGCAGTAATGATAGGGAATCATAGTCAGGTAGGTATTTATAAAGATGTCCTTGTCAGATTCTCAAGGGAGAGCTCATGGGCTAAATCTGGGATTTCTACATGATCGAATCAAAAGCATTCCTTACCCACAGAAATAATATCTGCTATTAATGTGCTCTGTGGTCTTAGGAAAAAACACTGTGCCTACCTGAGTCTTAGTTACACAATCTACAAGGTGAAAAGGTAAGAAGGAAGCAATTTTGTTTTCTGACTTAGCATCGTTTATGCACATAACAGTTTTTCATGCCCAAACATACTTATTACCAGGAGGCACAGTGATGTGGTGATTACAAGCCCAGGTCTTGGAGTCAGATAGGTATAAGGTTTGAGTCCTGGGCCTTTCCAGTTACAGAAGTGGGATCTTAAACAAATCCTTTAAACTTTCTAAGACTTGCTTTCCTTACCCAAAAGACGGAGTTACTACTCTCTAATTGAAAAGGCTGGTATGGGGCTAAGTAAGATAGTATCAGTCAGTTGTCCTATAAGGTTGCACAACAAACCACCCACACTCAGGTTCATACAATGAGGTTGGGGCTGGGTGGCTCTGCTTCCAGTTTCAGAGATGCAGGCAGTCTGTCATCTAAGGCATATTCTTATGATGTTGGCATAAGCACAGAGGGAAATCTTAGCTGTCCATTAGAAGTCTGCTCACATCACCCCACTGGCCATGTGAGTCCCATGCAAATTCAAGGGATGGGGAAGTACTCAGTCCTGTATGAGACTGTGGTGAGAAAAATGAAAAATTGAGTTTATTTATTTAGTTTTTGAGACAGGGTGTCACTCCATTACCCTGTCTCTAAATAAATAAATAAATAACTGGGTTCAACTTAGAAATTGGGTGAATTTGCACTAATCAATCATACTTAGTCAAGACTTATCTGTACAACTGGGTTAAAACTATTTGTTATTATAAGTGCCACAAAAGAATAAATCTTAAACATTTTTTACTCTGTAAAACACCATCCGATATTTGGTAATGATACTCTTGATTTTGGTCAGGCCTGTTGCCTAAGAGATTTCAACAAAAACTAGAGATTACTACAGATTTGACACCTGCATTGCCTTCACATCAGCTTCTGCTCTGGGAGTAGAGTTGGGGTAAAACACTCAAGTGGAGGTACTCACAGGAACCCTCAGTATATGCGGTCCCTGTGTGGGTTCTTCTCTATCACTTCCTCCCAGGAGTTACAGTAGGGGAACACAGCCACTGCAGGAATGCTGGGAACAGCATTTTGAACCATGAGAAGAGGCCTTCAGGGATAGATCTAACCATTGGTGGTAAATAACTTTTCAATATAACCTATAACTGACAATTGCTTTAAAATGGTACATTCAATTTGTGTTTACCTTGGTCTTGAGGTGGCAGGAGATTAAATCTTTCAAGTTCCAAGCATGAGTGGGAGTCACAGAGGGCCACATGCCTTTTTTCTTTTGATTTAGAAGGATTATTTTCTAATAATCCTTGGCAGGAGATTACAGTTACTCCTTGATGGGGAGTAACTGAGAGCATTCATTCATGAGGTCTCAGTGACCCAATTTTAGTTGGGACCCTAGGAGCAGTCTTCCAAATGCCAGGATCATGGACCATGAATCTCCAGTTATTCTCTGCTGGTTCCAGGGAGCTGCAGGTGTGATAGATGTGACATCACCCATTTGTGATTACAGAGCTGTCACTCTGGGTACCAGGATGGCCCTGCCAAGAGGCCTGGAGGTGTGTGGTTAACATTGGCCCTCCTCCAAATAGAAGAAGTGGTGGGTACCCACAGGGATAAATTCCCTGGGGTGATACTGTCTTCTCTGAAAACATCAGCTTTTGTTTTTAGAGTAATAACTAGGCCATGTGAGCTTAAGTTTGTTCAAAGTTTAAGAAAATCTTAAAGTGGCTTATGTAAAACCCTGCAAAACACTAATGTAAACAAAGTTGGTTCTTATTAGTGGTTGATGTAGTTTGTTACTTTTAAAGGGTGTGAGAAAGAGACATTTATGGGGAAAGATGGTGTGTTGACATGGTGCACATCAAAAAATAACCACATTAATATAATCAAAAACTGCTTGGCTGAAGTTTCCAGATTGGATGGGATCATAAAAATGAAGAAATATAATAAATCTAGCTTTGGTTTTGGATTTCTTCTTTTATTTGGAAACAAGATTACCTTGCCCACATCTCCTGAATTTAGGCAAATGAGAAAATGGGGGCCAGTGTGATGTTTCTATTCCACAGTCTTTGTGGTGGTGGGAGGGCTGAAAAGGCATACTGACACTGGAAGGAGGGATTCCAGGAAGTAACAGGCACCAAGAGAAATGTGAGTGTCCAAGTCCATTGTCCTCACTGGTTTTGCAAGTATAAAAATAATATAAACAACTTTAACAAAGGATCAGCAATCTCTCCTCCCGCTGAGGGCCTTGGTTCTGAAGAACTCAATGCAGTTCTTCTGAAGTGGCATTTTTGACAAGAGGTTTTAAAACATAGGTAATCTGTCTAATGGGTTTCATTTTATAATTGCTTTTACTTTGCAATGAAATTAACTGTCTTTATAACATATACACTCTTTCTTCTTTAAGAAGGTTTGAATTTTTATTAAATGTCTTCTGATAATCATTAAGTTGGAAGAACTTCCTGCATCCCAACTGTTCACAACCATTTGACTAACACACCTCTAACACCTGCAGGATTACATATTAGATCAATATATTTGGTACACTATACATTGGGTCTGACCCTTAAATAAATCAATTCATTTTGTATTAGGACAATTTCTTGATCTGAGACCTGTGTCCTTCATGCACAGAGGCTTCACAAAATAGCAAACTCCTGACTGTGGCTTTCAAAAGTGCCCCGTGCCATCCAATCTCTACTTGTCCATCTGGCCATATCCCCCACCCCTCTCCCCATCATGCTCTGCTCTACCCAACAGATGATCTGTTTTTCCTTTAAACTCCTCAAGCTTGTTCCTGCCACAGGGTCTTGGGACTAGTTCTTCCTCCTTCCTTTGAATATATCCCTTTCCAAGGTCTTCTCCTGGCTCCATTGTTACCTCTTAGAAGTGCCCTGATGTTCATCCAGATGAGAACTTAGAAATGAAAAGGGGTGACCCAGCTCAGTGAACATGAAGGCACTGGACTTCATGTTGCAAAAAAGATGCTTCTAGCTCAACACTATATTTTAGCAGAAGCAGGTCTAAAAGAAGGGAGAGGCAAAAACAAACAAACAAAAAACACTGATTTAAGAGGATAGGAAAGTAATGGGGAACCTAATCTGTGAGCTTTAAGAAGAGACCTGTTAAGGGAGCCAGAAAAGTCATGAGGGGGCAGCCCCAGCTCTCAGAATTGCTGGGAGCTTCACTCAGCTAGGAGCATGGCAAACATCTGGAAACAGTTTAAACTGCTTGGCAACAACTCTCAGAAAGTAAAGGAGGCACTAAAAGAAATAACTCCTTCTGGCTTAATTCTGACCAACAAGGAAGACCACATCAGTTATGCGTAATTGAGAAGGAACCTTGGGGAAAACTGTTACCTTAGGTCAAAGGGAAATAATGCTAGAAAATGTCAGATAGTTGCCCTGTATTTTGGGAAAGCAGATTTTTAAAAATATTAAAGGAAAGAGAGAATCCCATGGAAATAAAACTAAGAAAAATGATATAGCTCTAAATACAATGCAAAATTGAGCATCACAAAAATAGAGAAAGGTAGAGAATTTCAGAGTAATTAAATTAGATTCAATTTTGGATGAGCTTTCAACATAAACTACGATGGGAGAGAAAATAAAACAGTGGTCCTCAAGAATGGGATGGCCAGACCTAAAGATTTACCTCTCTTGATTTTTCCTGTTTTTGTGAATAGAGAAGTTTTTAAAGCAGTACTCAGCAGCAGTCGATAAAAAAGGAAGAGACAGAACCTCAGCTTTGAAAGATTATAAAATACCGAAGACTACAAAGACAAACAAAACTAAGTCAGAGCCAGCTTTGTATTGGTCTTCTCTGTGACTCTTCAATCTTTAAAAGATAAAAAGAAGATTGTTAGGAAGACTTTGAAGGCTAAATTAGAAAAGGGATGGTAAATAAGGATCTAACAATTTAAAAAACTTCAAAACAGCTGGTTTAGAGAAATTATATAGTATACACGAAAAGGGATGGAATATTGTATTCAATAATCTTTGAAAAGGTTGTAGAGATTAGAAGATTGCTGGCCAACTAGAAAAGACAAAAGTCTCTATTTTCATTTAAAACAACAAAAAAGTCAGTAGTGTGTGAAAGGCAAGTTGCAGAAGCCACAGATAATCACATTTAATATAAGTTCCAAGATAGTGGTTCTCAAACTTTTTGTCTCAGGAACCTCTTAAAATTATTGAGGACCTAAAAGAGACCTTAGTTTATATTATATCTATTAATATTCACTGCATTAGATATTAAAACTGATAAACTTATTAATTTACTTGAGACAGGTTCTTGCTCTGTTACCCAGGCTGGAGTGCAGTGGTTCAATCGTGGCTCACTGTAGCTTTGACCACCTAGGCTCAAACGATCCTCCCACCTCAGCCTCTAGAGTAGCCGGGATGACAGGTGTACACCAGCATGCCTGGCTAATATTTTTTTTATTATTACTTTTAGTGGAGACGAGGTTTTGCTAGGTTGCCCAGGTTGGTCTCAAACTCCTGAACTCAAGCACTCTTGCTTTGGCCTCCCAGAGTGCTGGATTACAGGCATGTGCCCACCCAAGAAAATTTAAAACATAAGACTATAAAGCACATGATCCATTAAGCATCCACCAATGAATGACATTATCACATGTAATGTAGCTTCTCCATTGTATACACAGGAAACGAGAGTTAAAAAAAGCAAACTTTAATTTTGTAGACTCCCTAAAAGAGTCTGAGGAACCCCCCATAGGTTTAGACCACACTTTTGAGAACCACTGCAAGAAAACTTTTCACCATAGGCCCAAGAAGACATGAACACAGATGTCCATGACAATATTATTAATATTTATAATAGCAAATACTTGACAATATCCCTTAGTAGAGAAATGGATAAATTGAAAAAAAAGCTAGAGTAATTTTTAAATAAATTCATTTTCTACACATCAGTGTGAATTAATCTCAAAACACTATTAAGTAAAAAAGCAAGTTAGAGATTATATACATTATGACATCATTTCATAAAACTCACATATGCCGAATAAAACTATCTAATATTATTTGTATAATTCTACCTGAAAATTAAAAAGAAATATGAAGCAAATATTAAGATATGCTTTTTTTCATTTTAGGTAGAAGCTACAAAAGCTTTTAAATATTATCCTCTGTATTTTGTTTTTTAGCATTTTCAAATGATTTCTAGGCTGTAACAAAGGGAAAGGGTGATCATTATGTTGTGGCTTTAGTCCACCTAGAACAGCAGTTCTTAAAGTACATCTATCCATCAGCAGCATCTGAGAGCTTGTTAGAAATGCAAGTTATCAGGCTCACTCCAGACCTACTGAATCAGAATACCTAGGGTGGGGCTTGGGAATCTGAGCTATAACAAGCCCCCAGGGAAATTCTTATGAAAGTCTAAGTTTGAGAATTACTGGCCAATCACAAACAAATACGACCATTCAACCTGCCCTTTACATAATGCATCTAATTCAGCACAGATTTTGGTAATATTGCTTATGATGTTCTCATGGACGAAATGACATTAGATATAAAAGGAGTTTCTCAATGATATTTGCCAAATGTTTTAAAGGGAACCTCCCCCTTGGGGTATTCAGGTTATCTTGGCTAGCCCTACATGGCCTACATGGCTAGCCCAAAAGTTTGGGCACACAAACTGTTGACACAAGTACAAGCTAACTTGTGGCTTCTGGTTAAATTTCTGACAGTTTGGAAATCCCGGCTGGTGTAAACTCACATTGATTATACCTTATGTGGATACATTCTTTTATACTACTTAAATCAAAGTCAAAGTGTGGTCCTCAGACCAGCAGCATCAGTACCACCTGGAAACTTATTAGAAATGCAAATTCTTGGGCCCCATCCCAGTTCTACTGAATCAGAAATTCTGAGAATGGAGCCCAGCAATCTGTGTTTTATCAAACTCTTCAGGTGATTCTGATCTGCTGTATGGCTGGAGAAGCCCTGGCCTAAATAAGTCTACACAGAGGAGAGGTGTGTCCTGGTAAGCGTGACAATGGGTAAGCCTGAGGTTCTAAACAGGAACAGCTGAAATCCTAACTAATCAAGGAAGAGTGTTGGTGGCAACGGCAGATTTCCACTCGGAACTAGCTTGGCAAAGCTTGCTGACAAGTACTGAAGAACTGGCATTTTCCACAACATCAGGGGCGACACACTTCCTCCGTTGACTGTTTTTATGTCATGATCTCTTTTCTCATTTTCCTTTCTCAATTTAAAGGACACTTTGACCAAACCAACTAGAATGGTTGGTTCTATTTAACTTAAATAATTTTGCCAAAATGGCTTTAAACATGCATGACTATATCCAGTCTTTTCTGCCCATTTATTCATTACTTCTTATTTCAAGGACTTTTTTGACTTCTGAGATATATTCTCTATACTTTATCATATGTCATTCTTAGGTGACTTGTAAGATTTTTCCAGAGAAGCCATTTTCAAAAAATGGGATCATACAAACTATATAACATAGTTTGTCCCCTTAAACCTTTTAATTTTTACTTATTGTAAGAGTCTGGTAGTCACAGGATTCTGTTTGACCACCAATATTGTCTACTGTCTGCCAGTGATGTTAACTGAACTCATATGTGGAGACATATTTACACTCATATTTGGAGAAAGATAGGATTTGCTTTATGGGAGTTTAGTGTTAGTATGAGGTACTAGATTTTTTGGGTGTCCTTCAGTTAAATGGATTTGATCAACTTTACTCTTTATGGGTGAGATCCAACCTAGCTGGATCTTGTTTTTGTCACTCCTTGTCTGTTTTTATTTTATTTTTTTCCCTCAGCGGCACAATTGTGCCTCAAGTCTCATTTGCAGAAATCCAGAACCTGCTCTATACTTGAGATGTATCTTCCAGTCATCACCCAGTTAACATTTAAGTGTCTATAACTAATATTTTAGTCTTTTCATTTCATATGGACTGAATGCTCATGCATTTGGCACAAAGGCTGGAAAGCCCATACTAGTGAGTAAGAGAAGCACAAGGTTTAGCAGCTTAGAAGTGAGGAAATCTTGCTCCAACTCTCAGTGGGACTGATTGTCAGAGAGGAAAGGATAACAAGCCAGCCCACCTAGGAAATGGAAGAAATTAGGTAGAAGGTTCTGCTAAGTCCCACATCCACAGAACATGATGTGTTACCACTAAGATGAAAGCCTCTTTCTTTGCTCTCAAACAGGACCTGCTAGGTTGTGGACAAGTGAAAAACCGTGGTGAAGTAAATGATACTTTGTCCTAACCAAATAATGCATACACTCTAACAAGACGGCACATGTCCTGGGTCTTCAGCTAGAATGTTTATTATTTTTTTTTATTATACTTTAAGTTTTAGGGTACATGTGCACAACATGCAGGTTTGTTACATATATATACATGTGCCATGTTGGTGTGCTGCACCCATTAACTCATCATTTAGCATTAGGTGTATCTCCTAATGCTATCCCTCCCCCCTCCCCCCACCCCACCCCACAACAGTCCCTGGTGTGTGATGTTCCCCTTCCTGTGTCCATGTGTTCTTATTGTTCACTTCCCACCTATGAGTGAGAACATTCGGTGTTTGGTTTTTTGTCCTTGTGATAGTTTGCTGAGAATGATGGTTTCCAGCTTCATCCATGTCCCTACAAAGGACATGAACTCATCATTTTTTATGGCTGCATAGTATTCCATGGTATATATGTGCAACATTTTCTTGATCCAGTCTATCATTGTTGGACATTTGGGTTGGTTTCAAGTCTTTGCTATTGTGAATAGTGCCGCAATAAACATACGTGTGCTTGTGTGTTTATAGCAGCATGTTTTATAATCCTTTTGTGTCCAGAATTGGTGGGTTCTTGGTCTCACTGACTTCAAGAATGAAGCCGCGGACCCTCGCGGTGAGTGTTACAGCTCTTAAAGTGGCACGTCTGGAGTCTGTCTCTTCTGATGTTCAGATGTGTTCAGAATTTCTTCCTTCTGGTGTGTTCGTGGTCTCGCTGGCTCAGGAGTGAAGCTGCAGACCTTCACGGTGAGTGTTACAGCTCTTAAGACAGCGCGTCTGGAGTTGTTCGTTCCTCCTGGTGGGCTCGTGGTCTCGCTGGGCTCAGGAGTGAAGCTGCAGATCTTCACGGTGAGTGTTACAGCTCATATAAGCAGTGTGGCCCCGAAGAGTGAGCAGTAGCAAGATTTATTGCAAAGAGCGAAAGAACAAAGCTTCCACAGTGTGGAAGTGGACCCCAGTGGGCTGCCAATGCTGGCTCGGGCAGCCTGCTTTTATTCTTTTATCTGGCCCCACCCACATCCTGCTGATTGGTAGAGCCCAGTGGCCTGTTTTGTCAGGGTGCTGATTGGTGCGTTTACAATCCCTGAGCTAGATACAAAGGTTCTCCACCTCCCCATCAGATTAGTTAGATACAGAGTTTCGACACACAGGTTCTCCAAGGCCCCACCAGAGCAGCTAGATACAGAGTGTCGATTGGTGCACCCACAAACCTTGAGCTAAACACAGGGTGCTGATTGGTGTGTTTACAAACCTTGAGCTAGATACAGAGTGCCGATTGGTGTATTTACAATCCCTGAGCTAGACATAAAGGTTCTCCAAGGCCCCACCAGAGCAGCTAGATACAGAGTGTCGACTGGTGCACTCACAAACCTTGAGCTAAACACAGGGTGCTGATTGGTGTGTTTACAAACCTTGAGCTAGATACAGAGTGCCGATTGGTGTATTTACAATCCCTGAGCTAGACAGAAAGACTCTCCACGTCCCCACCAGACTCAGGAGCCCAGCTGGCTTCACCTAGTGGATCCCGCACCGGGGCTGCAGGTGGAGCTGCCTGCCAGTCCTGTGCGGTGCGCTCACATTCCTCAGCCCTTGGGTGGTCGATGGGACTGGGCGCTGTGGAGCAGGGGGTGGTGCTCGTCAGGGAGGCTCGGCCGCACAGGAGCCCATGGAGTGGGTGGGAGGCTCAGGCATGGCGGGCTGCAGGTCCCAAGCCCTGCCCCGTGGGAAGGCAGCTAAGGCCCGGCGAGAAATCGAGCACAGCGCCGGTGGGCCGGCACTGCTGGGGGACTCAGTACACCCTCCGCAGCCACTGGCCCAGGTGCTAAGTTCCCCATTGCCCGGGGCCAGCAGGGCTGGCTGGGTGCTCCGAGTGCGGGGCCCACCAAGCCCACGCCCACCCGGAACTCCAGCTGGCCCGCAAGCACCGCATGCAGCCCCGGTTCCCACTTGTGCCTCTCCCTCCACACCTCCCTGCAAGCTGAGGGAGTGGGCTCCAGCCTTGGCCAGCCCAGAAAGGGGCTCCCACAGTGCAGCGGGGGGGCTGAAGGGCTCCTCAAATGCCACCAAAGTGGGAGCCCAGGCAGGGGAGGTGCCGAGAGCAAGCGAGGGCTCTGAGGACTGCCAGCATGCTGTCACCTCTCACTTTGGGTATATACCCAGTAATGGGATGGCTGGGTCAAATGGTATTTCTAGTTCTAGATCCCTGAGGAATCGCCACACTGACTTCCACAATGGTTGAACTCGTTTACAGTCCCACCAACAATGTGAAAGTGTTCCTATTTCTCCACATCCTCTCCAGCACCTGTTGTTTCCTGACTTTTTAATGATCACCATTCTAACTGGTGTGAGAATGTTTCTTTAAGACTCTGCTTCCATCTAGAATGTTTCTTATCCAATGATAATGATAATGATACTCCAGGGTAAGAAAATAAGTCTTAGTTTCATGTGAGAATTTTTCTTTCCCCATGGTGATAAATAGTAGAAGACTTTTCAGGGCACACTGCTCATTGCATTTTCTGGGTTTTGTAAAAACTTGGGATATAAGAAAAATAATGAAACTAAACAAGCAGATTTTTTTCTAATCCCAACTTTTTAAAGATATGGTCCACCTTATTATATGATCATTAGTGAAGTGCTAGCCTTCTCTTAGGGAGAAAATTATGTTCAATAGTAGGATATTTCCACATGCAAACTAGTAGAGTTGGTTAGTCAGTTTCTAATAAATATCAATTGATATCTGTTTAAAATGACAGCCTCCTTTTGTTCCCAAAGCTTTATCTTCTCAAATATCCATTTTTTTGTGTGTGTATGTACTTAACATTTTAGTTGGTTTGAAAAGTTTTGAAATTCTACCAGAAAATCAAACTCACAAAATGCAGAATTATAAGACTCTGTATTGATCTTTGGGCAGAACAGACTCATATGTTCAATACCAGAATAGAATGACCAGCACTGTGCATGAACAATGGAATCACAGTTCTAATTTAGTCAGGTCAGGTGATATTTCATAAGCATTTCCCATAATGTATCAGCTGTTCTCTTTCTTTGCATCCCTTTAAAAATGTATTCAGTTTTGTTCTGCATATTATTTAAATACAGTTTATGCAGTATTCATGTTAACACAGAATAACATATTCAAATAGCACAGATGTCTACTAATATAATGAACAAGGAAAGAATCTGAACTTCAAGCTTTGTGTAGATTATGAAACTCTGGAATGATCCACTGGATAATATGATTATAAGTTTCCATGATGTTTAACTCCCATAGAGAACTTTTGGGCAATTGCCTGCTAGTCTATAGAATTCTTATCATTCTGAAGAGCAGAAGAAAACTGCAATCCCTGGATTTTCTTTGTAGTAACTTGGCATAACTGAAATCTTTTTGGGTCTGCTTTCTGCTTACATGTAATTACTTTTATGAGCATTTATTGCCAAACATTTCCTAGTTACATATTTAAGATAAATTATATCTGATTCTAGGACTCAAATTACTTGCTTTTATTTGAAATAGCTCTCTTTTAGGCTATAAAGACAAATTTGAAAGCTATAAAGACAAATAAATATGTGCGTATATGTTTGTGTGTATATATACACACATATTTATTTGATTATATAAACATATACATGTATATGCCTAAATATGCATATGTATATATATTTATCAATACCATTATTAAAATCTATTGGTAGTAAATTTTATATGAAAGAAAAGTTTAAATATTTTGAGAGCAAATGGAAAACAACAAAAGGTGGTCTAATGTTGGTCAGAGGCTATTGCTAATATTAACCAGAGTGGATGGATAATATGCTTCAGTATAAAGTCTAACAAAAACACCATTTAAAGTCGAAATAAAAATGTCCTATTTTGTGATCGTGTTTTATGTGTCTGATTATTCAAAAATCACATCTAAAGCCAAAGTTCCCTTTCATGGGCTGCAATTTATAAGAAATGGTGAAAATTATAATCATGAAAGAATAATTGTGAATAATCTGTGAATGTTAAAAAATATGTGGTTTAGGCATTTTATAGCTTGCTTATAAAGCTGATGCAGTGCATTAAATAAGAGCATGATTCTTAAGCCCAGCCAAAGATGGAGCCCTCACCATACCTTCATAGGAGCCAGCTGGATGGGTGTGATGCATGAAGGGTCCACCATAGGCTTTGGCCTGTTGGCCGTATCTGCTAACAGGCTGTGCCACTGCTGGGGAAGGCCGGTAAACTTCTGCTCTTGTGGATCAAACCCAGTATGAACCCTGTGTTCAAAGTTGGACGGGCCAGATATTTCAATCTTTTTCTTTTTCTTCCCAAACATGATGCCAAAACCTGGGAAATATAAATGGAAAAGAGGCAGCCATTTATATCTTGCCAGCAGAAGACCAGGAGAAAGCTATTGTTAATTCACTCAGGGCAACATCTTTTCAGTTATTCCTCTAGATCCCAGCTGCAAAAGATAAAAGTTGAGTTTTCAGGGTGTGTAAATTAGATAATTTTATTCAATTTTTTTTTGTTCCCTCCTTAAACTTGCCATGTGGATGATAGTTCCCTGCCCCATTGACTTTGATTTGGCCATGTGACCTGCTTTGACTATGGATGGAAGAGACAGTTGGCAAGTTCAGGGCAGAAGTTTTTGAAGGCATTGTATGTTTCCACTTTTTCCTTGTGCTCCTGTCACTTGTCACAAAGATCTCTCTCTCAGGGAGATGACACTTCCTCAGCCTAGGTCTTGGAAGGAGAGATGCATGAGGGCAGACACAAGCCCAACCTCCAGTCTGAAGCCAAGACCAGGCAAGCTCAACTGAGATATTATTGAGCCACGGCTGACTCGCAAATGAGAAATAAATGTATGTAATGAAGCCACTGAGATTTTGGCCTTGTTTGTTATATAGCATTATTAAAGCTGACCAGTACACAGGGAGAAACATTTCAAAGTTTGGTATGTAGTTAAAATCCAAAACATTTGTGGGGAATAAAATATATGCATACATGAAAAATGGGTTGATAATGATAGTCACCACATAAAGGATCAAACAAGTAAATATTTACAAAGCACTTGGAAAAACATCTGTCACAAAGTAATTACTTCAAGTATTAATTATACACCTCTGGACAAATATACAAGAAAGTTGACTGATATTACCTGCAGAGAAGGGTACCAGGGGAAGAAGGCAGGGAGGAAGACTCACTTTTCACTGTATATTATATTTACAATTTTTTACAGTGTACTTTACCTGTTTGAAACAACATAGTTTACCTAGGTGAAACATAGCCAGTGACCAGAATACCTCTAGAAAATATGTAAAATAGGCAAAGTATGCTTTATGATGTTGAAAACACATAAGGTAACCTGGGTTTGCATCCCAGCTAGGTCACCTATTCACTGTGATCCCAGATAATTGCTTTTTTCCTCTCTGCATCTACTCATCTGTGAATAGAACAATCATCATTTTGGGAATCCTTACAACACTGCATGGGCATTGTGAAAGATGATGTTTTGGCCTACATGTTGATTTGTTGAGGAAGACTTATCTCAGCCCTTGGACTGGAATAGGTAGGTCATATATTCCTACACTTCTTTTTTTTTTTTTTGAGACAGAGTATCGCTCTGTTGCCCAGGCTGGAGCGCAGTGGTGCAATCTCAGCTCACTGCAAGCTCTGCCTCCCGGGTTCACACCATTCTCCTGCCTCAGCCTCCCGAGTAGCTGGGACTACAGGTGCCCTCCACCATGCCCAAGCTAATTTTTCTGTATTTTTAGTAGAGATGGGGTTTCACCGTGTTAGCCAGGATGGTCTCCATCTCCTGACCTCGTGATCCGCCCGCCTCGGCCTCCCAAAGTGCTGGGATTACAGGCATGAGCCACTGCGCCCAGCCTATCTTCCTACACTTCTATGTATATATTCTTCACAGCATTTATCCACTTGCGATTAATTAATTACATATAATGGTGTGCTCAGTGTCTGTTTTAACTACTAGAATGTAAGATCCATGAGGGAAAGGATGCTTCCTGCTTTTTCATTACTGTTTGCCTGGCCTATAGTAGGGCTCACAAAATATTTGTTGATGGACTAAAATCACCCTGAACAGCACATTTATTCAGTAAATAGCATGTGCGGTTGGAGCTCCATGTTCTCTCACTCTCCCTTCTTTACTTCCCTTCATCCTCTGTTAAAACTGTTACTTCTTTTAAACACTTGTCCCTGTGTGGTAAGCAGGGTCTTCCCATGCCTTCCAGTTTTCTCAAGTTCCTTTTCCATCCTCTACCTACATAAATATTCTCTCAGCAATGCTCAGACCATTCACAGCCTTCACTCCCTGGACTCCGTCAAAACCCATCGCATTCATTCTGGTTGTTACTTCAGACTAATTTGGAAGGGCTGTAATGAAAACGGATGAAAGAGTATAAGGACTTCAACTACCTTGATATATTACCTTTCCTGGAAAATATAGTTATAACTTAAAACAATTCTGTAAGTACTTTACTACAAGTAGGTCAATAAATACAAGTCAGCTGACCTTAAACGCTTGGGCACACCCAAACCAAAGTGTCAAGAAGTAAAGGAACCCTGCTGTCATAGACTGCTGCAGAGATGGCCCACAATGTTTCATTCTTCCTGGTATCCATGCCTTCAAGGAGGACTCTCCCACACTGACTCTGGACTTGGATATATAATTTGCTATGGCCAGTGAGACAAGAGAAAATATGACACCAATACGCACTGTGCCTGCACACTGTGGCTTGTCTGCCCTCTTGCTGTCCTTAGAAACAGCAGTCAGCATGAAAACAAAGCCAGCCTATCCTGCTGGAAGATGAGGGGCTGTGTATCCCAGTTACCTGTCTCCCCAGCCAGCAACTAGTCGACCCTGAGAAGCAGAGCTGCCCAGCTGACCAGCAGCTATCCACATGAGTGAGCCTAGTCAAAACCAGCAGAACTACACAGTTGAACTGAACTTAAAATTATCACTTACAGAATCAGGACACAAATAAATGTTTTTTTGCTTTAAACCATGCTACACAGAAAGAGCTAACATAACAAAAACCCTGATTATCATCCTCTACCTTGCATCTTCAGATGCTTGCCATTTTTAGGTTTCTATTTTAGCTGCTTCAAAGTTTCAAGTAACAACATCCAATCTGGGTAACTATATTAGCTGTTACACAATTGAGTGCTAACTCAAAGGAGTTTTGATTGTGATATTACTATCTGGTTGAAGGCCTGGAATGTTTTCAGTGGCAGGAAATTACACCAATAATTAGCTCTATACACCATCTCTCTAAATTATTTAGTGAGCATAAAATACATTTGAAAATATAATTTGGCCATTTGTTGGCTGAGTCCGCTTGACAGTTCAAGAAATTTTAGCTATGACCATTTTTTAAAAATGCAAGATGGAAATTATTTCAGAAACATCATTTGAGAAGAGTTATTTGGCCTGTATTCATACCTGAACAAGCACTGAAAATGCTAGGCCAAATATTTTTAGAGGCAGAATAGAAATGTCTTATTATTCCCTCTCTCATTGTGAATTTCCCAGTGGTTGCTATGCCACTCAATGAGAGCATTGAAAAGAAGATATCAATGAACTAATACTGTTTCTGTTTTTAAATAAGAGAGTTGCGGAGAGGAAATCCACAGCTGAATTAATCTACCTACACTGCATTGTGTGATACAGCACAACTATAATTTTAATGGTCAAACATGCAGTTCTACCTCTCCAGTAAGTTTGAGTTAAAGAGTTACAGAGGAACAACTTAAAAGGAAAACACAAAACAGCTCTAAATCCTGAAGCAATATTCCTGGGAAGTTCACAGGTGCAGAGACAAAATCTCCAAGATTTATTGTGACATTCTATCAGCAGTGGCTACTACTCTGTTAGCAAGGAGGAGGCCCACACTCAGCTGAAAGACAGAGACAGGGTCCTAGTGCCTTTTAGCACCATGGGACAGATGGACGCCTAGTAGGGAAGTGAAGATCTTCTTGGCAGAATATTTCTTCTCTCTGATGTGCTCATGCTCAGTCTCTACCTACTAGGGCACTAAAAGTTCAATGCGTCTCATCCCACATTCATGGTAGCCCTCTGTCAGGGGTCCCAAAGACCACCCCCAGGCTTGATGATTCATGAGGAGAACTCATAGGACTCTGCATACAGTCATACTCGTGGCTGTGATTTATTACCATGAGAGGATACAAAACAAAATTAGCAGTGGGAAAAGGTGCATGGGGCCAAGTCCAGAGAATACAGGTGCAGGCTTTCAGAGGTCTTCTCCTAGTGAACTCACACGGGTTGTGGTTAATTCCCCCAGGACTGATTGTAACAACACATGTAAAAAGCCATCTACTGGGGAAGCCCATCAGAGATGAAGGGCCTGAGGATTTTATTTTGTACTGGTCACATAGGCACCCCTTGCTTAGTCCATATTTAAATTCCAGGAGGAAAACAGGGGTTGAACATAAACCTCTTTTTTTTTTTTTGCATAAACAGTTTAGGCACAGCAAGCCATTCTTTATCAGGGAATGGTGAGGAACTTGCTAAAATCCAAGTTCCCAGATGCCAGCCAAGGGCCAACCTTGCAAATAGGCTTTTTTTCTAGGATATGCATCCTGAAGCCTACTAGACTAACTCTTTTCTGCAGAGGAGGTGTTATTATCATCGCCCTTTCATAGAAGAGGAAACAGATGCTCAGAGTCCAGGTTAGAAACTTGTAAAACTGGAGATTTAGAATCTCAAAACACAAGCTTTTAATCACTTGTGAGAGCAATGTATGGCTGCCCTGTATTTACCTTCTCTGCCAGTTACACCATCCTACCTTTCTTAGGGAACCCAGTTGGTGTGGATGGTGAGGTTTCTTGGGTCCTGTCATGTCTCTCCATAAAGGCCCTCTCTGAGAAATTACAAACTGTGTCACTGAGCAGGTGAAGCTGAGCAGCCTCTCCTACAGAAGAAAAGATCCCTACTGCTCAGCACCCATGTAAACCAAGGGCACAGCATACCTCCTTCCACTCCTCAGTGTCCAGCAGACCTAATTCATGACAGCTGTGTAGGTATGTTTCAGTACAGAAAGTTACATAGGTTTAGAAGTAGGCAATTCAAGAATTAATTTGAAATATTTCTTCATTTCTTTGTTTCATTATTAAACACTTTATTATTTGTTTCAGTATGTGAACATTCACCTGGCAGTTTGATTCAGCATTAACCAAGTTGGCTCCTTAGCTAAATAAGTTTGGGAAAAAATGAATTACATAAGGTCCCTTTGTGGGACATTTCAAGGTCTTTATTATGCTAATATTAGTTTAGTTCCTAGAGAAGGATAGTAAACAGATCCCAGAATCCTTGTTTCTGAAAGTTTACTGCAAAACTCACAGCAAACACTGCTTTGATGGATGGTTTCAGTCACCCTATGTTCTTCTATGAAATATAAGTCTTAGAAGTCATAGAAGAGACTGAAGGAAATCCAGATCCCCAGACTCTAATACCCCATTTCTGCTCTGACATCTTCATGGTTATCTCAGCCCTCAACCTGTTCTCAGGGACAGCCCAGCTTTGTCCCTAACTTAGTGGGTTGCCCTGCCTTAAGCATATGCCTAGTCTAAAAGCTCCAACATGCAGGCATCTCCCAATTCAGGTCTCTACGAACAGGCATAGGGAGTAGGGAGTCAAAGAAGAAATAACAGGCAAATGCAGCAGCACCTGGTACTATTCGAGTCATGCTGGTTGGGGTGATGGCGCAGCACCTCATTAGGGACCAGAAGATGCTACTTAAATAATATTCATCTAGGATGAACTGTGTGTCAGACACTGCTCTATATGTACCAATTCACATATTCTGTTCACAGTAATTCATATTGTAAGGACTATTATTATTTCTGCTACACAGATAAGGAAACTGAGGCCTACAGGAGTTAAAAAAAAATGTGCCCAAGTTCATTCAAGTAGGAAGAAACTGAAATGGAATTCAAAACCCGGCAGTCCACATTTTGAGTACAAACTGGTCCATGCTCTGCTGACTTGAATACTAGTCCAGCCCCCATGGTGCAGCATGCTGTGTAGCCCTGGCAGCCTCTCTCAGATGGAGAGTCCTCCATTCTACATGGAGTTAACTCCAGATATGCATAGCTCCTGTAATTGTTTGGATAACTCAATGAGAAGGTATTAGAAGAAAGCCCTACAAGGGACTGGATGATCTGAATGTTGCTTCCATGATAGACAAGGGAGTGGTTAATACTGCTCATAATATCTGCTTGCAAGGGAGACTTTGCTGGTTCTTCTGAATTGATACACTACAACTCTCTCCCCAGACCCAGATTCAGTCTCTTCTCTTCTCTGTGCCTTTAAGTTGATTTATATGACTGTGTCACTAGAACTTCCTTGTCTTTGGTTTCTAGGGGGATTTGACCAATTACAGGCAATTTGTAGGTGGAGAAAGAGGTTGGGTATTTATTACCCTGGTTTTCTTTGCAAAATTCCCTTGTTTTCTTGCTAAACTTATTTCTCTGGTTTTCTTGCCAAAATTCCCCAATATTTACAAGCTTCTGTTGCCATTCCCTTTTCCCTCCAGTTTTCCCTCCAGTTTTCAGTCCCTGTGGGGCTAGATGTGACATCTTCCTGCAGTTTTTAGTTTGTGGGTATTCCTACATTTTTTATTGGTTCTCAGAACCTTGCTTATATGTGCTAGGTAAACCCTTCTGGAGTGCACCTTCTGCTTCCCGCCAGGACTCTAACTGGCATGTAGCATACTTGTGGGGCTTATGGTCCCCACTTCCCAGGACTCACCAGCAATGCCTAGGGACTAGGGAATATCCACAAGAAGCCACCACCCATTAAAAGGGGCCAAAGTCTTCATTAGCCATATGGAGACCCCCGTTTCTTGCATGTATTCCTTTATAACTATTTTAAAAATATTTTTGTTGCCTTATTTTTCTCTTGGGCATAAAGCTTGAGGTGTTCAAAAAAGCAAGATGGGCATTCTGTGAAATTACTTTCTTTACAAAATTATCTAAAGGGTAACGGCAAAAGAATTTTATCAAACAATCTTATTGCCTCCTCAGGCAGCCCATTTTCTCATTAATTTAGGGTTCTGGTTGAAAGCAGGGACCCGGACTTCCTGGATCTGAATCTGAGTCCTGCTACATTTATCAGTTCTGCATTCTTGGGCAACTGGCTTTGCCTCCTTTTGCCTCAGTATCCTATGATAAATGGGAATAATAATATTCTCCCCCTCAGTGGGTTGTTGTGAACATTCAGTGAACTAAGACATGAAAAGTGGCTTAGATCTGTGTCTGGCTCCTAGCAAGTGCAATCCAAATTAGGATTTTAGGGAATGGAGTAGGAACTCTACTATAAGCCAGGTCCAATCAGTGGCTGAAGTGCCATCTCTCATCACATCAGGTGGACACGCAGAGGTAGAGGAGCAGCTACTTGACCCCTATTACAAATTGAGAAGGTTCCAGCATTCTTCAACCTTTTCAAAACAATGACTCATGGCTCAGTCCTGTGTCCCACCCATGGCAACATTTTAAGGTTAATGACATGGATGGTGGTGATGGTCACACGAAAGTGTGAATGTATTTAATGCTACTGAACAGTACAATAAAAATTGGTTAAAATGGTAAATTTTTTGTTGTGTATATTTCATAATAATAATAGTAATAAAAGATAATGACATGGATATGCCCCAGGGGCTTTGATTGCCTGGGAGGAAGTAGTTGGCAGGCAGAAGCCATACTGAAGACGGGGTGGGGCACGCACAGGATGGGGTGGGGCAGGCAGAGCAGGAGGTCACTTATTAGAAAATCCTTTTGTCCATATCCCCCCTCAAAATCTCAAATTGTAATATAACATTTGGGATTAAGAAAGAAATATGTCAAACTGTGTTGGTCTAATAAAGTGAAGAGTTAATATAATTACTGAACTATTAAGGTTTCCAGTCATTCAGCCAGCTAGAGACATGGTAGAAAGAATAAGACCACAGAATTTTAAAATGGTGACTTTAACGTACCTCTTAAGAGTGAGTCTTTTCTTATTGACTCCCTCACGAAGAGAGATTTTTCTTTTCTTAGCCTCAGATCTATTTTTCAGAACTTGGTAAATGTAATAATGGAAATTTAAGTACTTTAGAAATACCTACCTGTGTTCATATAATTTAGGTTTAATGACTGGTCCTTCACTTACGGGAGAAAGGTGACTGTTTCAGAAATCACATTACAGAGGGGATGGCACCAACCACACCATCCCCTTTCTGAGATGTCATTGCTCAGATATACATTTATTATAGCCTCAGAATCAAGAACAAAAGATTCTCCAGTCTTTTAGCTATGCTGATTTTAGGGAAAATGAAACATAGATTACATATTTGGGATCCATAGGAAAATCTAAAAATCTTGGGATGGGTTCATCATATAATCTAAAAATAAAGTTGTTTTCTAAAAAAAAATCATTATGTGTCAAAGTTGTTATAAATGACATAGTTTCCTTTCCTTGGATTCATCTACTACAGTGTCTCCTAATAGGACCCATTGGACAGTCACTATGTTCCACTGGGTGCTTCCCACTCCAGGAGAAACTGTATCAAAGCCTGTTGGGTGAATACAATGATTATCCTTGTACCTGGTCCCCATTTCTATTGCACAGATGCTCATTATCCAGTTGCTTTGTGACCTGGGCCTGTTTTTTTGACCTGGATCATAATTCAAACACACTTGCCTTCTCAACAGGTGTAGAAACAGCTGTAACCCCTTTTCTTCTTTTGTGGATCTGATTCTGGCTTCTAATTTCTACCACTGGGATGTAAACCCCGACTTCATACCTGAATCTTTGTTTCTTATTTGTCCTTCTCTACTTCTGTGAATGTCTTAGACCCTTCCCTCTGATCATGATGTTTGGATCTTACCTGTCTGCTGGTTTCTTCTTATCTAAGCTTTCTGATTCTGCCCTGATTCTGAAATCTGTGCCCACAGTTGGATTTAGCATATACATCCATCTGAACTGCACACTTTTTAGACCCTCAACATCATCAGACCTTTCTGCTCTAACTCCTCGCTTCAACTCCTCACCCTGGCTTCAACTCATCCCTCTCAACTTTCTGCAATATCCAATATCCAGTATTGACAAAAGGCACACTTTAAGGAAAACATATTTAAATTTATTCATTTCCACATTGGCAGAATGACAACATAATATTGAGATAATAGCAAAGAGAAAATCATGGGTTTTAGAGTAACATCAATGTAGTAAGTACTCAGAAAAACTGCATGGAAAGTGTGTTAAATATAACAATCAAAAGCCACTACTTCACCATGGTTTCATTCTTTACTATAAGTTTACTTCTCCTTTATGCCAATGAGCCCAAATATGGAGACAGAGCCCAAACCTCTCTCTTAATCTCTGTGTCTATGCTTCCAAAGCTCCTCTTGGATTATTCTCATTTTTGACACTCAGCATCTCCAAAACTTAACTCATGATCTCCTACTTGCTCTGTTTCTTTCCTACATATCTCAATCCTTATATAGATAGCATCCCATTGCATTAAATTGTGGAAGCCAGTTCTGAGAGTTCACTTTGCCTTTCTCTTCTGCATCATCCTGCACATTCAATCATCATCAATTCCTATCCATTCTGCTCCCCAGATGTCTACTACATCTATACCTCTCTCTGAATTCCCACTGTATTAGTTTCCTAAAGTTGCTGTAACAAATTTCCACAAACTTAGCAGCTTAGATAATGCAATGTATTTTCTTACGGTTCTGGAGGTTGGAAGTATAACATGAGTCTCACCTGGTAAAAATCAAGGCATTGGCAGGGGTATGTCCCTTTCTGGAGTCTCTAGAGCAGAATACATTTCCTTGTCTCTTCCAGCTTCTAGAAGTCACTTGTATTCCTTGGCTGATACTGCATCTCTCTCTGACTGTTATTCCATCTTTCCCACTTTCTTTTTATTTTTCTTTTCTTCTCTTTTTTTTTTTTTTGACAGGGTCACGTGCTGCCCCCCAGGCTGGAGTGCTGTAGTGTGATCTTGGTGATCTTCATGATCTTGGCTCACTGCAACCTCTGCCTCCTGGGTTCAAGCGATTCTCTGGCCTCAGCCACCTGAGTGGCTGGGATTACAGGCATGCACCACGATGCCCAGCTAATTTTTATATTTTTAGTAGAGATGGGGTTTTCCATGTTGGCCAGGCTGTTCTCAAACTCCTGACCTCAGGTGATCTGCCTGCCTCAGCCTCCCAAAGTGCTGGGATTATAGGCGTGAGCCACCGTGCCCGGCCCATCTTTCCCATTTTCCTCTGACTCTCTTATTTTGTCTTTCTCTTCTACTTTTAAGGATGCTTGTATTATATTGGACCAGCCTGGATAATCTCCCTATTTTAAAGTTATCTTATTAGCAACCTTAATTCCCCTTACAGATTTCAGGGATGAGGATGATGACGTCTTGCTGGAGATGTCTACCACACCCATTGTCACTGCTCTCTCCATGTCAGCATCATTTCTCTCTCAGGCTACTATAAAATTATCTAGCTCAGTTTCCCTTCAACTAAACTTGCCCCTCCCAAGCAGTTTTCCACCCTGTAGGCAGACAAATCTTTTGAAAAATATAAGTCTGTATCATTCTCTTTCTCTCTTAGACCTTTTCTATGACTTCTCACCGACCTTAAAAACAAAACCAAACTCCTTATCAGAGCTTACAAGGCTCCTGGGGACCACCCCTTGGTACCTCTCTAACTGTATAAATTCCTTCTCCCTTTCATTAAGCCTTACCATCCTTAGTCACTCCCATTACCTTAAAGCCCCTCATCCCCTCTAACTTCTCCCTCCCCTGCCTGTCTCCACCCTCTCATCTTGACCCTCACCCAAAGTCTCTTTTCTGGTCTCAGATCAAATGGAACTTCCTTAGGGAGGCCACTTTAGACCCCAGAATACTTTTTTTCTTACTTGTTCCCACAGTTCCTTGTCTATTGGGCTACAGAAATTATTTCAAATTACAGACATGCATGAACACATTCTGTCTACCCTGTCCACGCCACCATCATTTCTCTCTTGGGCTATTACAAAGTTATCTAGCTCAGTTTCCCTTCCACTAGACTTACTCATCCAAGCAGTTCACCACCCTGTAGGCAGACCAATGTTTCTAAAATGTATGTCTGTATTATGCTCTCTCTCCTAAACTTTTTCTATGACTTCTCATTGTCATTACACACAAATCCAAACCCCTTATCCCAGCTCACAGTTGTGGATGGTTCTAACAAAAAGAAGCATACAAAACAAAAGCTAAAAGGGAACTACTTTGTTCCTATCACAAAGTTTCAAATCCAGACCATTTTCTATTTGTTTGTGTTATCCCTGCACACATCCTGATTTTTTATACATAAACATAAGACCACTCTAAGTACATTGTGTGGGACTTGCTTTTTTTTTTGAGTCATTTAGCCTATTTGGGGTGTTATGTTAAAAAAAAATAAAAAAGCAAACCTTGGCTATCTTTCCATATCAGCACACATATCACTTGCTTCTAAAGTCTCCATAGCATTTTATAAAATGGAATGTACTATAATTCATCTATTGATTCTTTTATTGATTAACATTTACGTTCTGGGGCTCTTAAAAACATCATTCCTGTGAGAACTCTGCTAGATGTATCTATCATTCTGCATAAATACGAGCACATCTGTGGCATAGATTGTCAGATGTGGAAATAATGGAGGGAAGGCATATGTATTAGTTTGCTAGGGCTGCCAAAACAAAGTAACACAGATTGGGTGGCTTAAGCAAGATAAATTTTATTCTCACTTCTGGAGGCTGGAAGTCCAAGATCAAGGTGTTGGGAGGGTTGGTTTCTTCCGAGACTTCTCTCCCTGGCTTGTAGATGACTTCTTCCCCCTACATATGACTGTGTCCAAGTTTCCTTTTCTTATAAGGACAAGGGCCATATTAGATCAGGGGCCAAACTAATGACCTCATTTTAATTTAATCATCTCTTTAAAGTCCCTACCTCCCAAATTCAGTCACATTTGGAGGCATTGGAGGTTAGGATTTCAATATATGAACTTGGGAGGTGGACAGAATTCATCCCATAAGAGCAAGCATGTTTAAAACTTTTTTAAATGCTAGCAAGTTGGCTTTCAGAAAGCCTAGATACTTTCCTTTCCTATCAACATTGTTGGAAATCAAAGTTGGTCTTCCTTAGCAAGCCGTAAGCCCCTTAATTTCATTTTGATCTTATCTGTGCCTGGCACATAGTAGATGAGCAGTAATATTTGTTGAATGAATAGTCACTGAGACAAAATATTTCCCTTGATAGAGACAATTCATGGTTCAAGCAGAGTGGCTTCTAACAAGCAGACAGCACACAGGGTGAGATCAGCAGCATGTGACAGGAATGCATCCCAAATGCTTCTAAGGAACCCAGATAAACACACAGCTTTTCAGGGGCAGAGTGGAAGAGAGAGGACCCAGTCCTCTTTGATTTTTTCCTTGTATGTTTTTATCACTCCTACAAAAATATTAAGTAACTACTTCTGTATACCAAGTACTATAGGCAAGGTAGTGGTGTTTGAGACTTTATAGAGTAGAAGGGAGAAGAAAAACCAAGCACAGTGAAGTCTAGAGTCAGTCTTCTGGGTTCAAACCTTTGTTCTTCTACTTAATGGGGCAAATTACTTAATCTCTTTATGCCTCAGCTTTTCAATAAAGTGCAGCTAATTAATATCTATGTCAAATGTTGTGAACATTTAATGAGTTAATACTTGTTAAGCACATAAAATACTGCCTGGCATGGAATGAGCATTCCATAATTGTTAGCTATTATTATTATTGTAAAGGAAAGAAATAAAATGTTAAGAGAGATGAAGAGTCCACAAATCTCTCCATACTATCTTCACAACTTTCTGTGAATTTGTAATAATGTTTTTAAAAGTACACACATAAATGTACACTTTACTTGAATTGTACCCCCCATTTGTACATCTTACATAGTTAGGGTACCATATCAAGACCAGGACTTTGGCTTTGGTACAATGTATGTATATATGTCTATGCCATTTTATCACATGTAGTGATTCCTGTAACCACCAGCACAATCAGTGTATAGAACTGTTCTATCCCCACAAAGATGTGCTATACTTTTAAAGTTACATGTTCCCTCACTACCCCCACAATTGCTAAGCCCTGGCAACCTGTAATCTGTTTTCTATCTCCACAAATATATAATATTGAGACTGTTATATAAATGAAATCATAGATTATATGACCATCTGGGATGGTCCTGTTTCCCTCTCAGCACGAGGCCCTAGCACTCCATCCACGTTGTTCCATGTATCAATAGTTCATTCTTTTTTATTGGTGAGTAGTATTTCATGGTATGCATGTACCATACTTTGTTTAACCACTCACTCATTGAGGGATAGTTTGGTTGTTTCTAGTTTTTGGCTATTACACATAAAGCTGGTATGAATAATACTGTACAGGTTATTTTTTTGATCGCTTGTATTACTAATATTTTTATATTGGTTATATATTAAAGTGGTAAACATTTTAGATAAAACAAAACAGATTAATTAAAATTAGTTTTACCTCTTTTGTGTTTCAAAATATGACTACTGGAGTATTTAAAATTAAAGATGTACCTTACATTATATTTCTACTGGACAGCATTATGAAAGTGTAACTTGTAGGAGAGCAGCTGCAGGCCTACTCGTGATACAGATATTGGGTTGGGAATGCTTTGAGTTCAGCCTTTATGGATAAAAAGGGGCAGGTCTTGCGAACTTGAAACAGAGCATTCCAGGCAAAAGGAACCAAGGATAAAGGCCTCAAGAGAGAAAATGATTTGCCTTGTTCAAGAAACAAAAGCAGCTCCTGTGGCTGAAGCAATACTTATTTAAGAGGAGAATGAAGTGGTCCACCATCTGTAAACATCGTCTAGATAGTCCCAGATTCTCCAGATTTTTTTATATTTTACATCAATGACACTAATATCCAAATACACCCATCTACTTTCTGAAGGTAATGACTAGGAAAACTAGATAAAGTATTTTCACAGTAAGTCTTTTAGCGAAGTAGGGTTTCCCCAAACAGATACTGGCCCATATTTTAATCCTGGAAATATCACTGTTATTTGTTTGTTTAAAACTTACTGGGAATTATGAGTAGATTAGTTGATCAGTTAGCTTTGGCTGCATATCACACCATCCCAACATTTAGTGACTTAAAATGACAACCATTTATTTGGCCCCAAATACTGTGGGCTGATAATTTGTGCTGGGTCCAGTTGAGTGGTTCTTATGGTCTTGCCTGTGTTTATTCATATATTCTGTGGTCAGCTATGGGTTGTCTGGAAACTGACTGGTCTAGGATGGCCACATGGACTCTCATCTTTCAGCAGGGTAGCATGGGCTTGTTCTTGTGGTGGTATCAGGGTTCTGAGAGCACAGAAGAAATACCTCCTAAGACCTAGGCTAGGAAAAGGCACATAAGATTGGTTCCACTAGCTTCTATAAACAATGAAAGCTATAAGACCAACGCAGATTCAATGGGTGGGGAAATTAGTCTGCTTTTCAAAGGGAGGAGCTTCAATGTCACATTGCCAATGATTGGCTACTGTGAGACATAGAGAATTAGGATTATGTTTGCAAACGACCACAATAAGTAACAGTGGCATGCTTCTAAGTGGTTAAAAACTGGCTATGGAAAAAGGGTAAACAAACCCTGATTGTAATGTCTGTCAACTTTTATGGTGCAAATACTGTCACATAGCTAATTTCAAGCTACCAATGTGACATTGCAGAACATTTTTTTAATTAAAAAATATTTTTAAAGATGAGCACAATTGGCTCTCACAAGCTCATGTGAGCCAGCTCCAGATACACTAAGAATAAACCCTAATTCTGGTAGTTGGCAGAGGAATGCTGTAATTTCTGGAATTCACCACTCAAGATATCACACTGAGATCTTCTGCCCTCTCTTAAAAAGGCAATTGCAAGGAGCTACATGTCCCACCAACAGGTAAAAAGCCCCCCATATAATTGGGTATAAAGACTTTAGAAGTCTTTGCAACAGTAACTATGAGATACGTGGTAGGTGTTGTTCTCATCTAATTATCAAACTTCTCAGGTGATTGAAAATTGTATTGTGGGTGTGTGTGCATGTGTACACACAGCTGGCAATCAAAATGAGATCTTCCATAAATCATAACTGGAAACACTGTCAAGTTTAACAACATCAGAGCCTGCTTTCTTTCCTTCAATCTTCAAGAATATAAAAACTGATGCATAGGAATTTCACATCAAGCCAGAGAACCTTATGTAACCTTAATTTTGCTTTATTTAGATTGGTCAGATGGGTCACACAAACACTTGCATAATTCTGCTCTTTTCCATCTGAGGGTCATATGCTAGCACCACCTCCTGGTGAGACTATGGGCTTCATATGGGCAACTGCAATGGTGTTCGACTTATTTCCAAAAATAAGTTACTGCTACCACTTGTCTGAAAACCTCAGAGCTGTACGTTTTCTTAAAGTTATGGTAGAAATAAGTTGTCAAGCTGTCCACTTTTAATGTCATTGATTATATGAATTTTAAACGATAGAGTATTGGGTATAAGAAACTTTCCTGTTGAAGAAGACTGGGCCAAATAAGAAGGGAATTTGCTGTTACGAGTAAAGAATGGAATCTTCTGAGTAGTTAAATACTACAAAGTTGTAGTACAATTTTAGATAAAAAATCATAGTTCTTTAGGGTTTTGTTTGTTTCTTTCTTTTAAACCACTAGAATCTGTCATTGGATATTGCCTTGTCCCCAAACAATCTAACATTCTGAGCAAATAGAAATGGTAGTCCTGTTGACATGTCAGCTTCAAACTGAACTTTCCATGTATAGAAACCCCTGCTATGGTGTATAAGTCTCACCTTCTGACTCTTCTCTTCATATTTGCTTCTCTATAACAGCAAGTATGCCAAAGGGAAAGGGCAAGAATGGGCTTGGTTTGTGCAGCCTAAGTCAGATGAACTGAGAGTCACAATAAGAGAAGCAAAAACAATAATAACTAGCCTCTGACTGTCACTCCCTTCCAAATCTGAAGATGCCCACTTCTATTGTAAAATCTTTTCAGATTCTCACTTACAGCCTGCCACCTGAGGCTCTCAAACCCCAGAAGAACCTGAGGATAATCCTGGCATGAGGGGGATAAAGGCAACCAGGGCACTAAAGGCTTTCAGAATTATACGGCAAAACAGAGGCACTGCACGTGGATTACGCAGTAAACTGGCTGTGGGCAAGTGACAAGTGATTTGCATTCCAAGCAAAAATCTGTGGTAGATTAAGATTATTTTAATTTTCTCTCCTTTCTCTCTTCCCTTAGGGCTCTCTCCATCTTTTCTTTGACAAGTATTTTTTGTGCACCTGCTGAAGCCGGGCACTGTCCATGGTACTGAAGACGCAATAGGGAGGCAGACAAAGATCCTTACCACCCTTATGGGGCTCTCATGATAGGAGAGAAAACAATAAACAAGTAAATAGGAAAATTACGTAGTATATTAGAAGATGATAAGGCCCGTGAGAAAAAAATAAAAGCAGAAAAGGGAATGGCGAATGCTGTGGCAGGGGAAAAGAATTTTTATATTGTGTGGATAGGGATGAGAAGATGTCCTTAAATTAAGAAGGTGATATTTGAGCAAATATTTGAAGTTAGAAAGGATACCGTTCATTAGAGTATCTGGCCAAAGAGTTCTAGTAAGAGTCAACAGCAAGTGCAAGGCCTGGAGATGTGGATATTCCTGGTGGGTTCAAGGAAAAGCAAGGAGGCTTGTGAACCTGAAGAAGGGTAAGCAAAGGGCCAAACAGAGGGACATGAGACAGAGATGGAACAGGAAGTCAGGCCGCACAGGGCAGTAGTTCTTCAAGTGTGGTCGCAGACCAGCAGCATCAGCATCACTGGGGAGCTTGTTTAAAAATGCAAATTTTGGAGTTCCACCACAAACCTACTGACTCAGTAGCTCTGAGGGGTGGTGCAGGGAGACTCAGCCATCCATTTTGACAAAGCTCTCCAGATGATTCTGATGTGCACTCAAGTCTGAGCAGCTGTGATTGAGGGCATCAGCTGCCACTGCAGGGCTTTGGTTTTTTTTCTCTGAGTGGAATGAAAATTGATTTGATTGTTTAATTACTTAATCTAAAACAATGATTTCAGTTTTGATGTAATTAAGTGATTGTATGGTTTCCAGGTATATTCATTTTCCTAGACCACGCTGGGGCTCAGAAACTAATACCCCAAAATATGGCATTTTGACATGCTGAACTGAAGAAGCCTCAAGGATCCTCTGGCCTCCCTCCCTCCACCACCCAAAGTCTCTCCCAAAGAAGCTGAAGTTCCTTTATCTGCCTAAGATCCAGACCCACCAAGGTGAACAATTGTTTTTTTCTTCCTTTCCCTGTTATCTCATTATCTGTTGCAGAAAAGAAGACCAAGATGTGACCACACCTGAGAAGACCTTTTTTATGGGCATAATGAATTGTCTCCAATGACTATGTAAATTCTAGAGAAGGCTATTTACAAGTTAATATTTATTCCCCTTTCTATCATTTATTGCCCCTCAATAGAATTATTCTTCTCCCACCTCTCATAACTGGTCTTACCAGGATACAAGCTCCCATTCTTTCTTTAACCTCAAGATAAAATATAAGTTTCTGTAACCTATTGGAAGAGGGGTCTTCATTCTAAAGGCATTTTAGAATGCCTTCATTCTAAAGGCATTTATTTAATGCCCCTACTAAAGGCATTAAATAAATTTGTATTTCTTTTCTCCTATTAATCAATCTTCCTCACGTCAGTGATTTTTCAGTGAATCTTTAGGGGCCAAAAGCCTATGGCTCCTACAACCACAAAAGGTAGCACAGTGAAATGATCATTTAGGATATGTCTCCTTAGCATGGTCTCCTGGGGGCTTTCTTCAGCCCCTCTGGGCTCTTCTCTGGACAATAGCTGGTCCTGGAAGACAGAAGGCCCTTCAGATAACTATATACTACAATAGAAGCTTGGGGTTTATCTGTAGAGGTCTTTTACTATGATTCTTGAATAATTTTGGCACTGGAATTTTAATATATCTAATTTATAATTTAGCATAATTTGGTGCCTATGTGATGGGAAAATCAGCAAAATATTGTCAGTGCTATACACCATGCATTGGGAGTTAATAACACTTGCATTTCCAACTGTGATCACTTCTTGGTCATCTTTTCTAAGATAACATGATGATGTTCACCATGTTCAATCAATATGATTATGGGAATGCTGGTTTAGGATGATGGCGCTAACAAGAAGACTACCTAAAATGTCACCAGCAACAACAGCAACAAAAGCTTCACAATGTTTATGGATTTCACATGCTCCCCTTTCTGTAATCTGGAACTCACCCTAGAAATTAGCTGCCCAGCTTACAACTGGGCAAACATGTGCCCAGCTCCCTTTGCATCCAGGTACTGCCATGTGACTTATCCTGGCCAATAGCATGTGCACAGAAGTGAAATAATTCACTTCCAGATTAGGGATTTTATGTAGGCTGGATGCAGAGAAGAACAAAGTGCAGGGGTGGTGGTAAAACTTCAAGGTAGAAGGAGCCTGGATCCCTGAACTGCTGTATGGAGGAAATCCACTTGCTGACCAGGAGCACCTGCACTGGACTTCATGCAAGCAAGAAATTAAATTCTACTGGACTAAGCTAATGAAGTTCTGGGGTCTAGTTGTTATAACAATGGGCATTACTCTAATATACTTATCATTTTTTTTTCTGATAACAACACTATGCTGTCAGCAAATAGCATTAGCCTCACATCAAAGAGAAAAAAGCTAAGTATCAGAATGAAATCACTTGCCTAAGGTCACTCAGCTAGCTAGTGGCAGATGCAGGATTCATGTCAAACTCCTCTGGCTTTTAATATATGTTTATTACATTATATTTAATGAGCCAAGGAATGGAATGCAAATATAAAATGGCAACAATGGTGGTTATTAGCCACTATGTGAATTTTCAGCAGTAACATTTTTAAGGAAGACTGTCAGTCAATAGAGTTGTTAATAAAATTATCACATAGTTTAGAAGATGGATTCTATTGTAATACATTATAGCAGATTAAGTTTTGCTCCTTTAAATGTATAAATCAATGAAGCAAAAACCATTGCAATGGTAAAATCTGATGTGGTTTGGGGCAATATTTTGTTTTTACCCAACCTTGATTTTAGTCTAGAAGTTTTACATTCCTACGAAGCAATCCCACTATGTGACTGGCCCCTTGTTGGTCTGGCAAAATAACATCGAGGAAGGAAATATTGCTAGAATAATAACTCCTAATTTCTGTGCTTGAAGCTGTGTCTAAGAGGTATTTAATGTGAAGTTTCTAGTGAAGTTTATTTAAATAGCATTGTCATTTCCCTCTCTCTGTTATGCATAATAATAAACCTTTGAAATTCAAATCTTTGAAAAATGCCAAAATGCATTTTCCTCTTCAACTTAATACTACTATTTAATTTGGGTAAGTTTGTAGAACAGTGGGATCTCAGGCACTTTTAAAATGGAAAGGGGCTTATTGATCCTACTTTCAGTAATGTCAGATTTATGAAATATGTAAACTCAGCAAAAATTACCCTTCCCTTTGGAAATGTAAGGCAGGACTACACCTTGGAGACCATATCCAGCAGGCTTTTTCTGAGCTCTCGAGTAAAGGTAAGGAATCTTACATTACCATTGAGAGGGTCAGTTTTAAAATATATTCCCTCAGTAGGAGAAGATGCGAACTTTTTGAATAACACGAGTGCTTAAAGGTATTGCTTTATATTTCTACTTTTCTATGTGTAACTGGCTTTTGTTGCCTCCCATTTAAGAATCACAAACTAGAAATTATCCATAGGCTCATCAGTAGTGGAATGCATAAATAAATTGAGGTATATTCCTACATTGCAATGCTACATAGCAGGGAGAAAGAACCATTTGGAAAAGTTCAATGAATTCCACAAACATAAAGTTGATTGAAAGAAAAAGGCAGCTACGAATAAGTGCATATTTTACCTCATGATGGGGGATTTTATAAATAGGTCACAGGCAGAAAGTCCCTTCCATCAGGATTACACTGTACCATAGAAAGAGCCCCAGATGACATATCAGAATGGTCAACATAGAGTGACGTGTCTTCTCTGGGGCTCAATTATCTCACCTGAGCAAGGCTCCATAGATCCTAACCAAGAGTGTAGAGCTTTAATGTAAACTGAAAGGAACTCAGCATTTCCTTTTCTCCCTAAACTGTTCAGTGGGTTGACACCCTCTTTATAAAGAACATGAGAAAAGTCATCACAAGAAATGCTTCAACCTCCAATGGTTCCCTCCAGTAAATCAGACCTCAGTCAGTCCCATCCAGCTCTAAAATTCTATGATTCTTAGCTGTTTTGGGAATCAGGACTATGGAAATCAACAAGGCATATATCAAAAATGGCTGACAAACTGCAATATTACAGCATCTATACTATATTTATCTACCCAGACACAAACATTTTGATTACACAATGGAACTTTGTCAGATAGCCTTTAACCCTTAGGGAACATCATTTCGTTTTTATAAAATAACCAAGAGATTTGCTGCTGCTGTGGTTTTTAATTATTTCGCCCACATTCTTCTGTAGTTATCGTCTTGTGTCCTAAGTAGTACCAAAGGCAATATTCATGCTTGGATGATAGTTATTGTTTTAAAAAATGGTTCATAGCCTTCAGCTTCATGTTACATATTGTAGCCTCATAAATACAAGGCTAAAAGACATTTACAATCAGAAAAACATCCATTGAGATGCTGCCTTGACCCATAAATGTCTAATTATTTTACTAAAAAAAAGAATCCCTCAAAAAATGGGTATGGCAGGCATATTTTGGTACTACAACTTGTGAGTCTTTTTGTTTTTTTAACAGGCAGAGTCTTGTTCTGTTGCCCAGGCTAGAGTCATGATCATGGCCCTGAATTCCTGGGCTCAAGTGATCCTCCCACCTCAGCCTCCCAAGTAGCTGGAACTATAGGTGCACACCACCATGCCCAGCTAAATTTTTCTGTTTTTTTTTTTTTTTGTAGTGATGAAGTTTCCCTGTGTTGCCTAGGCTGGTCTCAAACTCCTGGGCTCAAGAGATCCTCCCACCTTGGCCTCCCAAAGTGTTGAAATTATAGGCATGAGCCACTGTGCCTGGCCAACTTGTAAGGCTTGAAAGGACAACTGGATAGTCACCATTGTGTATCAGTTATTAAAATGCTGAGTTATTTGATAAAGCAGGAAATGTGGCATTCAATTTAATATCTCATCCACCCACTCCCCTGGGCCCACAAATCCATTCCTCCTGGCCACATGAATGCTGGCTGGAGACTTTAATTTTCAAACTCCCTTGCTGCTAGCTGTGAACATGTGGCAAAATTCTTGCCATTAAGATAAGCGGAAATTATGTGTGACTTCTAGCTTTTCTTTCTTTATTTTTTGAGTCAGGGTCTTGCTCTGTGACCCAGACTGGAGTGCAGTGGCATGATCACAGATCACTGTAGTCTCAGTCTCCTGGGCTCAAGTCATCCTCCCACCTCAGCCTCCTGATTAGCTGGGACTACAGTTGCACTCCACCAGGTCTCAATATTTCTTTTCTTTTCTTTTTTTTTTTTTGAGATGGGGTCTCGTTATGTTGTCCAAAAGCTGACCTTGAACTTCTGGCCTCAAGCAATCCTCCTACCTTGGCCTCCTAAAGTGCTGGGATTACAGGTGTGAGCCACTGTGCATGGCTGGTCATTTTTCTAAAGATATAGAAATGCTTGCCCTGCACTTGGCCCCTATTTTTCCTTCCCACTGCTTAGAAATGGTGATAATTAGAAGAACCTTGAAAACCATATCTTAAGGATGGCAGAGCCTTTCAGTTTTACTGGACCCCTGGGTTATGTTGTGGACTCCATGGCCCAGGCTATTAAGAAAGAGAAATAAGCCTCCGTCTTTAATGTATAGGATGTTGTAAGACTCTTTGCTACAATATCTCAGCCTTTTCCTTAACTAGCCTGCCAGGAAAGTGCTTTCTGTTTAGTTGTAAATGAGCTGAAGAAGAAGGGAAGGAGGAAGGGAAAAGTAGAGTTCAGCACTATTTCTCAGAATAACAGAAATGAGAAAGAATCCGATATAACTTTACAAAGATATTTACAGACATGCCCTCCATTTGAGGGCATAACTTGAGTCATATAATTGAAATTAGCCATTTACTGTATTGAAACAAGCATGATATAGCCTCCTGACTGCCCACAGGAAGACACTAATAGCAAGCTGGAGTCCAGTGACAATAACAGAAAGAATGAAAGGTCAGGCATCATTCTTCAATGCAGTGAGAACTTGGAAAAAAAAAAAAAACTTCAACAAAAGCACAACAACAGCAAAAGGCGGAATGAAAAAAAAAAAAGAGAAAGAAAGAAAGAATGAAACCACAAAAACAAAAAGCAAAACCAAGTAGGAAATACTACCGTGGAGACAAGTTCTGTTCCACAACATTTTGAGTTATGACATTAGATTGCCTGATCAATGATACCCATTTCCTTGTTCTCCAAGTGGCCTTCTTACTTCTGGCTACAATGTCTCCCCACCTCCACCACCATAAGCTCAGATGAACAAGAAAAAACAAAACAAAATGCAAAACAAAACAAAACAAAAAAACAAATAGCAAAAAGTTGTTGAGTGCTTTGTATGTGTGTTTGTATCTGTGTGTATGTATAGGTATGTTGCTTGTCACATTGATTTTTAGCATAACTCTATGAGATATGGATGAGTATTGTTACTATTCTTAGTTTTAGATGAAAAGATGACAACCTTACAGTGAATCAGTGACAGATCTAGTCTTCCACATTCTTAACCATGATGCCACATTTCTCCCTCTCAGCCAGGGCAGAGTGTGATAGATTAAACATGGCTGCAAATTTTGTGTCCCTTCTTTCATTAAGATGTAGAGTAGATCGGGCATAGTGGCTCATGCCTGTAATCCCAGCACTTGGGAAGCCAAGGCTGGTGGATCACTTGAGGTCAGGAGTTTGAGACCAGCCTGGCCAACATGGTGAAACCCTATCTCTATTAAAAATACAAAAATTAGCTGAGCGTGGTGGTGTGCACCTGTAATCCCAGCTACTTGGGAGGCTGAGGCAGGAGAATCTCTTGAACCTGGGAGGCAGAGGTTGCAGTTAGCTGAGATCGCACCATTGCACTCCAGCCTGGGTGACAAGAGCAGAACTCCATGTCAAAAAAAAATTGTAGAGTATAATTCTCCTCCTCTTCAGCCTGGAATGCCTATAGTGACTGTGGCAGAGTTATGCTTTGCCAGTCTGTGTTCAGGCCCTAAGAGACTAGCAGCTTCCATTCACTATCTCCTGGAGCACTTGCTCTTGGAGTATTGAGTTCAACTACCCTGAGTATTGAATTCAACTACCCTAGCCATGTACAAGTGCTCCAGTCAACAGTCCCAGCTGAACCCAACCCTTCATCTGTTCCCACCAAGGTCTACATATGTGAAGCTATCTTGGATTTTCCAGAAAGTTCATCTTCTAGTTGCATACCACTGGGGAAGCTCTAATAATACCCTGTGGAATATAAAAATCACCCAACCAAATGTTGATCAAACTCCTGACCCACTGAATCATGAGATATCATAAAGTTGTCTTTGTTGTAACACTAAGTTTTGGGGTCATTTGTCACACAGCAGTAGATCACTAGAACATAGAATTTCGTAACTTAAAGCCCATAATGTATATATGCAGATTTATGTATGTGTGTTTATTCCAAATGGTTCCACATATGAAATGAGAAATTGTTGCATGCTCTGTTAGTACCTTTTCAAAACATTTCCTGCCTAATGTGTTTAATAGTATCTAAAATCACTTAAGTAATAGTAGCTTGCCAGTATTAAGGATATTCATTTTTGAATATATGGTTAATAATTATACCAAATAGATCAGAAGCTGAGAAATGGAAATTTGAGTAGAATCTCCTTGAACCATTTGAGTCATGACAGCTTCCACTGAGAACAAGAGGAAAGAACTATTTTCCTTAAGAATTGCTTTTTCACATAATTTGTCCTTTAAAAAGAGAAGCCGCATGTTAGGGTATCCATCTAAGAATTTAAATTCATAGCTCTCTCATACAACCTAAGACAATAGCACATGTACTCCTAAATTCATACTGAAAGCACATAAATCCAACCAAAGTGGTAATAGAAACCTAAACATAAAGCATGTACATATCTATGTCTTTGTTTTTTCAGAGGAAATTTTGAGCCTAATGGAGTATTTTCATTTTTTTTCCTTTGTGATATGTTGCCTGAAGAATGTATAAGGGAGTCTATTCTTGCCTGAATTTAAATCCTTCATGATTAGATGAAAAATATAATGTTATGTTTATACACAAAGATGATATCTACCTGCCTTCAGCAGGATGCCAGATCATGAAGGCTGAGTCATCCACTCTTTCTCATTTGCCCTTTCTTATAATGAAGGAAAATAGCCAGGATTAGGTAAGGGAGTCAACAGATGGACCAGTAACAAGGGGACTGGCGACTTGGAAAGGGAACCTGTGAATTTTACGAGAGCATAACACTGAGAACGAGAACGACACTTTTGCATATTGGAGTGGCATGCTCAAACCAATAAACAAAAGCATGTTAGAAGTTGTATCAGCTGTTCCTGGATACCAGGGTGCTATTTACTTGACTGACATCATCACCTCTGTTCTACTGATAAATTTTATTAAGATGCTTTCAGTTTTGTTAATTTGATCTGGATCTATTAAGGCAGTTACCTAAGTGCAGAAATAAAAGGGAATATCCACATCTATACTGGGCATTGCTGGGGAAGGCACGAGGAGCCTGCATGCAGATCAGCACTGACTCAGTGGCCTCCTGGTGCCCAATATCATGGCATATTCGAGAGATCTTTTCCTTGGATCCACAGGATCATAAGAGACATTTTTAATGTATAATGGAACACAAAATCCAACCTTGTGCTGATTGTAGAATCAGTGGACATGTCTATAATAAAAGTGATTTACAAAAAATATTGTTATATTCATAATTACACATGCTGTAATGCAATATATGTAACACATCTTTTAAGACACACACAGCAAATATTCAAACAGTGGGCAATATCCATTTTTGGAGGTAAAATGTCATTTGGTTTTTATTTTAGATCTAGTAAAAAGTGTATTTAGGATGGTTTCTCTTGAACTCAGATTACCAATATATTTACTTGCTAGTTTTTATTTCTTATATACTTATCTATATACACATGACAGTGTTACATATATAACAAGCCTCCTTCTAGAAATATCTTAAAGAAACTGAATTTCCCTTTTTAACTTTTATTTTAAGTGATTATGTTATTTTTAAGTGGTTCACATATGCCTTTTCTTCTATATTTAGGTGCAATCATATCAAAAGTCCTCCTCTACTTTGCTTGGACTAGAATTTCTTTTTGGATTAAAATTTGAGGTTTTTGTAGGAAAGTATATCAAAAAATAATATTGTTTTTCTCAAGAAAAAGAGAGAAGAGCTTTATCTATCATCATCTAGGCAACATCCAAGCTGAGAGCATCTCTGCCTTGGTTTGGGTACTGAGAAGTGGCCACAAGCTAATTCCAATTTTGCTTTCTAATTTACCCTACGAGAAGAAACCCAGCCAAGCCTAAGTTATTATAAAGGTACACCTCACTTTATTTTTATTTTTATTTATTTTGATTTTTAAAATTTTATTATTATTATACTTTAAGTTTTAGGGTACATGTGCACAACGTGCAGGTTTGTTACATACGTATACATGTGCCATGTTGGTGTGCTTTACCCATTAACCCAACATTTAGCATTAGGTATATCTCCTAATGCTATCCCTTCTGCCTCCCCCCCACCCCACAACAGTCCCCAGAGTGTGATGTTCCCCTTCCTGTATGTCCATGTGTTTTCATCAATTCCCACCTATGAGTGAGAACATGCGGTGTGTGGTTTTTTGTCCTTGAGATAGTTTCCTGAGAATGATGGTTTCCAGCTTCATCCATGTCCCTACAAAGGACATGAACTCATCCTTTTTTATGGCTGCATAGTATTCCATGGTGTATATGTGCCACATTTTCTTAATTCAGTCTATCATTGTTGGACATTTGGGTAGGTTCCAAGTCTTTGCTATTGTGAATAGTGCCTCAATAAACATACATGTGCATGTGTCTTTATAGCAGCATGATTTATAATCCTCTGGGTATATACCCAGTAATGGGATGGCTGGGTCAAATGGTATTTCTAGTTCTAGATCCCTGAGGAATCGCCACACTGACTTCCACAATGGTTGCACTAGTTTACAGTCCCACCAACAGTGTAAAAGTGTTCCTATTTCTCCACATCCTCTCCAGCACCTGTTGTTTCCTGACTTTTTAATGATTGCCATTCTAACTGGTGTGAGATGGTATTTCACTGTGGTTTTGATTAGCATTTCTCTGATGGCCAGTGATGATGAGCATTTTTTCATGTGTCTGTTGGCTGCATAAATGTCTTCTTTTGAGAAGTGTCTGTTCATATCCTCCACCCACTTTTTAAATGGGGTTGTTTGATTTTCTCTTGTAAATTTGTTTGCGTTCATTGTAGATTCTGGATATTAGCCCTTTGTCAGATGAGTAGGTTGCAAAAATTTTCTCCCATTCTGTAGGTTGCCTGTTCACTCTGATGGTAGTTTCTTTCACTGTGCAGAAGCTCTTTAGTTTAATTAGATCCCATTTGTCAATTTTGGCTTTCGTTGCCATTGCTTTTGGTGTTTTAGACATGAAGTCCTTGCCCATGCCTATGTCCTGAATGGTATTGCCTAGGTTTTCTTCTAGGGTTTTTATGGTATTAGGTCTAACATGTAAGTCTTTAATCTATCTTGAATTAATTTTTGTATAAGGTGTAAGGAAGGGATCCAGTTTCAGCTTTCTACATATGGCTAGCCAGTTTTCCCAGCACCATTTATTAAATAGGGAATCCTTTCCCCATTGCTTGTTTTTGTCAGGTTTGTCGAAGATCAGATAGTTGTAGATATGCGGCATTATTTCTGAGGGCTCTGTTCTGTTCCATTGGTCTATATGTCTGTTTTGGTACCAGTAGCATGCTGTTTGGGTTACTGTAGCCTTGTAGTATAGTTTGAAGTCAGGTAGCATGACGCCTCCAGCTTTGTTCTTTTGGCTTAGGATTGACTTAGCAATGTGGGCTCTTTTTTCATTCCATATGAACTTTAAAGTAGTTTTTTCCAATTCTGTGAAGAAAGTCATTGGTAGCTTGATGAGGATGGCATTGAATCTATAAATTACCTTGGGCAGTATGGCCATTTTCACGATATTGATTCTTCCTACCCATGAGCATAGAATGTTCTTCCATTTGTTTGTATCCTCTTTTATTTCATTGAGCAGTGGTTTGTAGTTCTCCTTGAAGAGGTCCTTCACGTCCCTTGTAAGTTGGATTCCTAGGTATTTTATTCTCTTTGAATCAATTGTGAATGGGAGTTCACTCAGGATTTGGCTCTCTGTTTGTCTGTTATTGGTGTATAAGAATGCTTGTGATTTTTGTACATTGATTTTGTATCCTGAGACTTTGCAGAAGTTGCTTATCAGCTTAAGGAGATTTTGGGCTGAGACAATGGGGTTTTCTAGATATACAATCATGTCATCTGCAAACAGGGACAATTTGACTTCCTCTTTTCCTAATTGAATGCCCTTTATTTCCTTCTCCTGCCTGATTGCCCTGGCCAGAACTTCCAACACTATGTTGAATAGGAGTGGTGAGAGAGGGCATCCCTGTCTTGTGCCAGTTTTCAAAGGGAATGCTTCCAGTTTTTGTCCATTCAGTAAAAGGTACCCCTGACTTTAAAATAGGCCCTGTTCCTGTCAAAGAACTCCTGATCCTTAATAAAAATCAGCCACACACTACAGAAATCTAGATAAGAAAGAGCTTTGTTCCTAGTCTCTGAATGTGGAATTTGTTGAAGGAATGAACAAATGAAAGAAAGAAGAGAGATAATCAGCGAGGAAGGACAAAAAAAACTAGATTTTCCTACAGAGGTAATCTTGATATAGCCATATATTATAGATTAATTCAGCTTTTGAAGGCAGCCTAGGAACTAACGCATCAATTTTTAAAATAATTTCCATGAAAATTTTTTACTCCAAATTATGCTTACATGACAATAACTGGAAATGCAACCCATTTATATACATAACATTTAATGAATGCCTGATATATTTCAGTATGTATGGTTATTTTATTTAATATACATGTGAAATCCTGGCACATACTAGATACTCAGTGATATAGTTTGGCTGTGTCTCCACCCAAATCTCCTCTTGAATTGTAGCTCCCATAATTCCCACCTATCATGGGAGGAAGCCTGTGGGAGGTAATTGAACCATGGGGGTGGGTCTTTCCTGTGCTGTTCTCATGATAGTGAATAAGTCTCACAAGATCTCATGGTTTTATAAAGGGGAGTTCCCCTGTACACGCTCTCCTGCCTGCTGCCATGTAAGATGTAACTTTGCCCCTCCTTCACCTTCTGCCGTGATTGTGAAGCCTCCTCGGCCATGTGGAACTGTGAGTCAATTAAACCTCTTGCCCTTACAAATTACCCAGTCTCGCGTATGTCTTTATTAGCAGCTTGAGAACAGACTAATACACTCAGTAAATCCTAAAAAGCAAAAAGTTGAAAATAAGTATCTGTTCAATCTCAGAATTACAATAATATATTTCCTTTCCTTTTACTTTGCCCACATATACAGATAGGAAGTATAGATACAAATAGATGGCTCTTGAACAGTAGTCTGCATTTGGTAATTCTTGAGCAGCAATAGCTTCACCTATAAAGGAGGCAGCAAATGCAATTCCTGCATTAGATGGGAAATGTCTATTAGATCCTTGAGGTCCCTTCTGACTCTAAGGTACAGAGACTCAAAGAATAATGCTCACCTCCCCTTCTCTCTACCTATTCATCTTTATGCAAAACAATTGCCCATATGAAAGGAAAAAAATAACATGGGCAAGAGAGAAATCTTAACATTAAGTGACAGACATAGAATGTTTTTAGTGTGTTTGACATATTATTACACTTAAAATAACTACAAAATACCAGTTGGCCTTCCTGTTATAACAGATGGAAGAAACCTGGCACCTAATCCTTAATGTGTTTCCAGGAAAGGGATTCAAATTGTGTTTATTATCATATTTACTGGAAAAGAAAAAAAAAGAATTAAAAAAGAAATGAATCTCTCAAATCTCTTTCCTTAAATAAAAGCAATAATACTTTTAAATAGGTGCATTCCAAGAGAACTTTTTTCAAATGCTGGACATGTGTCAGTATCTGTCAATAGAGTAGCCGTGAGCTACATGGAGGTTTTGAGCACTGGAAATGTGGCTGCTGAGACTGCAGAGTTAATTTTTAAAATTATATTTAATTTCCATTAATTTTGTTCAATTTAAATAACCACATGTGGCTAGTAACTTCCACACTGGATAGTACATCTCTAAAGCCTTGGAGGTTATATGTTATCTGAGGAGATGTCAACAGTATTTATAAATGATTCTACTATTATTTATCTGGTTGATTTAATGGCAGTTTATCTGCCTCCTAACTTTTCCTCTTATCTGTTCTAACAATAATCAAGTTGAAACTGTTCTTTGAGCTCCTACTTGTCCATCAGTATACTGTATTATAGTTTTTATGGGACATTTCTGCCCACAGACCCCCTCTGGGAAATTTTCCCTTGCCCACAATCCTACCGCATGGAAGCCTAATTGTTGTAGACAACATACTTGCCCTACCAACCCCCAGCACTCCTGGGAGGGCCACTGACCCCAGTGCAGTCTGCTCATAAGCTGCCCAATAAGGAGCTTAAAATCTGGTGAGAAAAGTTAAACTGGGCTAATTGGAAACATGGATTTAGAATCAGAAAACTAGGAGATTCTGCTAGTTAGCATGCAAATGGGACTGATGTAATACATTTTGATATGTTGTGCTACAGAAGACTCTGGGCTGCATAATGGCCCCATGTAAATGGGAATTATGAGGAAAGAAAAGCCCCAAAAGCCAGGAAGTCTAGCAGCAGAAACAGAATGAGAATGGCACGGCCTTGCTGAAGGGAGTAAGACTGAGTTTCCAAGTCTGCTTCTACTGTGGCCTATTTTTAGCTATCCTTGAGATCCACAGTTCTAACAATGACTCCTCACCCTTTTTTTTTCCTGAGCTAACCAAGAGAGTCTCTGATTACTAAGATACATAGATTCAACAGGCATATGTGGAATTGAACCCTCTCCCTGCCTACCCCTCAAAAAGAACTTGAGACCCTATGTGTCCTGAAGTCAGTGTACTTGGGGATCAATACTAGAGGAAGAATACGATACAAGCTTTCTTATATGTTTCCCTCTGAGGTACTTCCCTCTATAGATCTTGCTGTGGAGTAATCTTTGACATTTCTTTGACATTGGAATCTTAACTGATTTTGTTATTTGAAATGAGGAAAGTCATATGGAACAGGCTGAGATGTCCTGGTTTGGCAGACAAAGGAAGGCAAAATTTGGCAGGATTCTTGCTGCCTTAAGTTGAGTATGCAGAAGCAGAGCCTGAAGCAGTGATTTAAATGCTCGAGATTTATTGAGGGAGTGCTTTCAGGAAAGCAGGGCAGGTGGAAGTGAGAGCTGAACAGGCTGTGACCTGAGCTGGAGTCTAGTCTCAGTCTAATATCAAGGGAATATCAAGGGAACTCTGGAGCATAAGCTGCCTCCCAGGCAAAGGGAGCTTGTACCCCATGTCAGTCATGTTTGTAACCCATGTCAGTCATCACCTGTGAGTTCAGCATCTTGGGTGGAGATGCTTCCATTGGCTGAGAGTAATGCCTCAGAGAAGGAGCTAGCTGCAGGTCATTAGTAGTCAGCACTCACAGCAGCTGGGGTGGCCCAAGGAGGGGGAACTGGGGATCTGGGTGAGCCACTTACAACATCTGCTGCACAATTCCTCCTAAATAGGAACTCTGGCTCCTGAGGAAAACAGTACATTTACAAATTGTTTGTATTTTAATTGAGTAAAGGGGTTTCCTCAGACTGAGAATTGCAAGGCTATGGAGATCCTAGAAGCTTTCTGAGTAGACAGAACTAAATATATATGACAAAAAATAAAAGAGGAGAAGAGTTAAAAAATGACAAGTTATGACAAAAAATAAAAGAGGAGAAGAGTTAAAGCAGTCCAGCTGCATACTGATAGAAGCACAGAGGAGATTCTTTTCTAATGCAAGGACAATAAAATAAGGATCATACAGCTTGGGGGTGACAAAGCTCTAACTTAAAACCAAAAGGACAAGTAGGACCTCAGTACTTAGCACACAGCATGGCATACAGTAGGTGCTTTTAAATATTTGTTCAACATTTGAATAAATGAATGGATAAAACTTAACAGGTTAATAATTAATTTTATTTATTTATTATTTATTTATTTATTTTAGAGATGGAGTCTCTCTCTGTTGCCCAGGTTGGTCTTGAGCTCCCAGGCTCAAGCAATCTTCACACTTCAGCCTCCTGAGAAGCTGGGACTACAGGTGCATGGCACCATACCCAGCTCCAATTAATAATTAATTGTTCCAAATATTCATTTCTTCCCCATTCTGTTACATTATTCAGTTCACATTCTTAAAATTAACATTTATGAGAGGAAGGCATGTTTCTAAAGAAGAAAGGCAAACTATATAGTCAGCCAAAATATTTATGGATAACAAACAAATTAGTCAACTGATACCATGTGTCTTGCTGCTTATTCTGTTAGTCACAAGGCTATTTGGTGACAACTTGTTATGAGCAATGTTTAATTTTTAATTCTGTAACACTTACAACATAGCTATAATTGTAAATTGGTAAAGTAAGGCAACAAAAACTGTGTATTAGTTTATTTTCATGCTGCTGATAAGAACATACCCAAGACTGGGCAATTTACAAAAGAAAGAGGTTTAATTGGACTTAGAGTTGCACATGGCTGGGGAAGCCTCACAATCATGTTGGAAGACAAGGAGGAGCAAGTCACATCTTACATGGATGGCAGCAAGTGAAAAAAGCATGTGCAGGAAAACTCCCCCTTACAATAATCATCAAATCTCGTGAGACTTACTATCACAAGAACAGCACGGGAAGGACCTGCCCCCATGATTCAATTACCTCCCACCGAGTCCCTCCCACAACATGTGGGAATTAAAGATGAGATTTGGGTGAGGACACAGCCAAACCATATCAAACTGCTTTAGGCAATATATGAATTATTTAAATTGGGTCAATCTATATATTTAATGTGAATACTAAAATATTACACTTGATCTTTTTATAAAATTATGATTTATTATTTTTGAAGGACCTAATAAACTACAATTACAATTTCTACAGAAAGAAAAATAAGAGAGAGTTTAGTAGGATCCTATTCCTGGGAACTGTGTGAATATTATTGATGTCATTTTTTAACAAACAGGAAAGAAAACAGGATAGTTTCAATTTCAGCTTTGCTGGAAAACATGGTTGGGAAGTGAGATAGAGGGAGAAAGGGACTTGTTCTGAATTCTGAATTGTGTTTTCTCAATATGAAAATAAAGGAAAGTCTTTAGGAGAATATTGAAAAGGTAGATCAGTATACACACATACATATAAATATGTACATATACATGAAACACTGTCCTGGCTTTGATATGAAATCATCTTGATTGGTGATAATTCAATACCCAGAAGGACAAAGAAACTTTGTTAATCCACTCTCAATTGTGTTCACAGTTTTGTATATTTGCTGATATTTAATATGCTTATGTTTTGTGCATTAATGCATATCTGATATTCTGACAATAAAATTAGAGAATACTGAGTCCAAATGGGTGTTGGCTAGCATTTCAGAGACCCTAACATTTTATCATTGAGGAATATCTAAAGACAGAGGAAAATAAATATGTTTTCCTGAAAACCACAGGGAAATCAAAATCAGGGTATGTGCATGTGTGTGTGTGTGTGTGTGTGTGTGTGTGTGTGTGTGTGTGTTTGTTGTTATAATTATTTTGCATGGAAGACAGAAGGAAAGGAATGTCTTTTTTAAAAATTTAAAGCAATAAAAATATTCTCTTTCACTTCATAATGTATTCAGCTTTAATATGAAGCTCAGGTTTTCCTCCACACTTGGGATCTCTCTTCCAACAAATCTAATGTGACTCAGCATTCTAATAGGATGCATCACATTCAGACCCCGGCTTCTGCACTCCAGCCTCGGCATAACGCTCTGTCCTTACTAGAGGGAGTAGAAGAGCTAAGGCTGAGCAGCTCAGGCTTGTAGACTCTCAGATATATTGGTCTCTTCTTTCTTTTTCTACTTTGATTTTCTAGGAGCAGGGCCTGCACCATAGGCTGCAACAGGTGGCCTTAGACATGAAACCCTGGGTGTGACCACACTTAAGTTTAGAAAAAAATGTTGATTCCAGCAACCCCTCCATTGTAAACACTCACTAGTTTCCATTTACTTGTAGATAAAAGTCTGAACTCTTGGAACATCAGCCAATTTCTCACCTGTGTGTTCTTAACCTCATCCAGAATGGCTATGACCATTTGGATTTCAGTTTGACCAGAAAACTGTTAACTTTATCTTTTTTAACTGTGAATGGAAACTGATATTTTCCTAAATTATGCATGTAAGCAACAGACCATAATCGTAGTAGCAGTACCTGTGACTCTTTCACTCATGGAAATCACAGGTATTTAAATATCATAGGACAGTATAGTGGCTTTCTTGAAATACCGTTTATGCTCATCACCACTTAAAATTGTAGTAGGTATTAGGCCTACTGTTAGGTCTTGTTATTTAATGTGTTAATAAAGAAGCATATATGCTATCATATTACAATTTTTTCAACTTTCTGAAAACTTCAAATACCTATAGTTGAAATTATTCTGAGAAGGGACCATGGGCTCATCAGATTGCCATCCCATGGCACAAGCAAATGTCAAGATCCTGTCTCTAGCCTCAGTTTCTACCAATCCTCTCTACCTTCTCTATGTTTCTGCTCTAACAAGACTCATTTTTTCCAAAATAGTCTTTGGTTGTTCACAACCTTGTGTCTTGATCTCATAGCTCCTTGGGATCTTTATTTCTGTGGGAAATTGTGCCCTTCGAGAATGTATTAGAGAGAACAAGCTTGAAGAAGCTGTAATTGTCCATTCTCATACTGCTAATAAAGACATACCCGAGGCCAGGCATGGTGGCTCATGCCTGTAATCCCAGCACTTCGGGAGGCCGAGGCAGGTGGATCATGAGGTCAGGAGAGCAAGACCATCCTGGCTAACACGGTGAAACCCCGTCTCTACTAAAAATACAAAAAATTAGCCGGGCATTGTGGCAGGCGCCTGTAGTCCCAGCTACGCAGGAGGCTGAGGCAGAAGAATGGCGTGAACCCAGGAGGTGGAGCTTGCAGTGAGCTGAGATTGCACCACTGCACTCCAGCCTGGGTGACAGAGCGAGACTCCATCTCAACAAAAGAAACAAACAAAAAGACATACCGAGACTGGGTAGTTTATAAAGAAAAGAGGTTTAATTGACTCACAGTTTTACATGGCTGGGGAGGCCTCAGGAAACTCACAATTATGGCAGAAGGGGAAGCAAACATGTCCTTCTTCACATGGACAGAGAAGTGCCAAGCAAAAGGGGGGAAAGCCCCTTATAAAACCATTAAATCTCATGAGAACTTACTCACTATCATGACAACAGCATGGAGGTCACCGCCCCCATGATTAAATTACCTCCCACTGGGTCCCTCCCACGACACATGGGGATTATGGGAAGTGCAATTCAAAATGAGATTTGGGTGGGGACACAGCCAAACCATATCAGAAGCCTTAGCTGATATTCCCAGGCAGAGTCTGAATACACAGTTGACCCTTGAACAAAACAGGTTTGAACTGCATGTGTTCACCTAGATGCAGATTTTCTTCCACCTCTGCTACCCCTGAGACAGCAAGACCAACCTCTCCTGTTCCCCATCCTCCTCAGTCTCCTCAGCATAAAGCGAGGATGAAGATATATACAATGGTCCACTTCCACTTAATGAATAGTAAATATATTTTCTCTTGCCTGTAATTTTTCTCAGTAACATATTCTTTCCTCTAGTTTACTTTATTGTAATAATACAGTATATAATACATACACCATACAAAATATGTGTCATTGACTCTGATATCAGTAAGACTTCCAGTCAACAGTAGGCCATAGGTAGTTTAAGTTTTGGGGGAGTCAAAAGTTATGCATGGATTTTTGACTGTGTAAAGGTCAGTACCCCTAAGCCTCACATTGTTCAAGGGTCCACTGTCTATCCTTTGTGCTTTTAAGATTCTTGGTACATGCCTTATCTTCAATCTTGAGAACATTTTATGTCTGTGCATCTGTCTCTTCCATTATATCTTATGTTTCTGGATGGTAAACACCTTTTTTTTCTCATCTCCCAACTCCTGGCATAGTAATTCTCATATTGCTGACATTCAAAAGATGCTTAAGAGGTCAAGGTGAGGTTATTTTCCTGGGAACAACAGATAAACAAAGCATTATAAATAGGGCAAAACAGTAGAGTCGTGCAGTGATGTGGCAGACCCATTTAGTTTCAAGGACAATCTCTGAGAATAATACGGTGCTCTCATTTCCCAACATCACTGCTTCCCTTAAAATCAAATTAAGAATTGATTTCAAATAAAATCCCAACAGAACAAAGCATGTCTTCATGTAATAAACAGGGCTGGCTCCAGGCAAAATTGTGATGGACAAAAGCGCATCTCAGGAATGCTGACATCCCTTTTCATCAGCCTTGCTTTTCTTCCATGAAGGTGCCATGTGCATCTGCATAGCAGGTCCTCTGGGTTCTTTGGACATACTAGTATGTTTAGGGATATTCCCTGTGGCATGTAATCTAGGCCTGTCCTCCTAAGAGTTCAGATTTGTTTCTACTCTCTCTTTTTCAAAACCTACCTATGTGATCCGTTCAGGCAGCCTTGTGCTGAGAGCTAATGGATGATGAGTTTCAAATCAGGCTTCATTCACTGATTAAACAATGGCTACTGAGCACTAGTTGAGCACTTCTTAGGTGTCATGTGCCAGGTGCTATGCCACAGAGATAAAAGCATAGTCTCTACCATCAAAATGCTCACAAAAGGAGATGGATCACTGTAATTTAGTAAGTTAAAGTTATATCAGCAAGCACAGATGGGGCCCTGTCTTAGTTTGGGTTCTCAGAAGCTGATCCTTAAACAAGAGTTTGAGTGCAAGTCCTTTACCTGAGATATCTCAGGAGGAATGGTAAGAACATGAGGAAGTGAGATAGGACCAAAAAAGCAGCCAGTGCAGAGCATATTTCCAACAGGTTACTACTGTCAGCAACTGGAGCTCGGTCCTGATGAGGGTCTCTGAGAGGTGGTATAGGTTGTACCCCAGGGTGGTCCCATCTGAAGGGCAAGGAAGTGGGACATTTATTCAGCAATTCCCATTTTTTATGAGTTGGGAACTGTACCTGACACATTAACTCCTTGGCATTTCTACCCTGAAGTGTGCATGGCCCTGAGCATGTTTCTGTGACCAGAAAAAGTCCTCCGGAGAGAATCCCCAGTGTTTGCAGGAAGAAGATATAGACATGTAGAGGAATGTTAAATGCTAAGGAGTCCTAACTGGGTCTGCTCCAGACCGGAGCAGGGGTGCTGCCAAAGAAGGTTTTCCCAAGGACAGGCTGTCTGAGAGGTGTCTTCAAAAAGGGACATTCCTACCCTAGGATAGGATCAGCGTTAGCAAATATTTTATGTCCACTTCAGAAGAATGTGTATTCTGCAATTGTTAGGTGCGGCGTTTTATGTATGGCAATTAGTTTAAGTTTGCAAACTATTTTGTCAAATCTTCTTTTATTCCTTTTGGTTTGTTTAACAGTTACCAAGAGTTGTGAATTTGCCAATGTCTCCTTTTAATTCTATCAATTTTTGCGTCTATGTTGAGGCTGTATTATTTGGTACACAGATATTAAGAATCGTTATATCTTTCTGGTGGAATGATTCTTCAATAAAGTATAATACATTTTTATCTCTAAAAATGCTTCTTGCCTTAACATTCACTTGAGTTTTTATGTAAACTTAGCTGTATCGGCTTTTTAATTTTATTTTTTTGCATGGTCTCTTTTATTAGTATTATTTCTCCAACCTCTCTGTATCATTATATTTAAGGGATGTCTTTTGTAAGCAACATATGCTTCTTATTTCTTTTTTATTTCATCCAGCCACACATTCTGTATTTCAGTTGAAGGGTTTAGTCCCTTCATATTTAATGTAATATAGACGGGTTAAAATAAACTATCTTGCTTAAAAGATGTTTCCCCCAACTTGTCCTATCTTTATTTTTCTCTGCTTTCTGGCTTTTTGGGTCAATCAAGTATTTGTTATCATTCCTTTTCCCCCTTCTATTAGCTAGATAATTGCATATTATTTTGCTTTTCTTTGAATAATATCCCTGGAGATGGCAACATAAATCTTTATCTCTTTATAGCCTTTTTTATGTTAGTAAGCTTACTACTTCCTGTTCAATGTAAGAGCCTTGGAATTGCATTTGCTTCATACTATCTTTTGTAATTCTTTACAAACTGAAAGCCATTTATTAAAACATTATTATTTAATATAGTTAATATTCATTTACATTTATTATTTCTCTCATACTTTATTCCTTTCTGCATGTCTGTGTATCCCTCCCTCTTGATTTTCTCTCGCTTAAATTTCTCCTTTTACTTCAGGTCTCCTGGTGAAAAATACCCTGTTTTTGTTAGTCTATAAACACCTCCGTTTTACTTAATTTTTGGAGGCTTCTTCACTATATAGAGAGTCTTAGGTTTCCTTCCAGAACCTAAAGATGTAATTCTATTGTCTGAAAAGGGTGTTGTACAAACGCTTCCACCTACAACGAGAAAAGTTTGACAATTTATTTTGAAGCTATGTTGACAGGTACTAGAAAGCTACTAGGGCGGGCTGGGCGCGGTGGCTCATGCCTGTAATCCCAGCACTTTGGGAAGCTGAGGCAGGCGGATCACGAGGTCAGGAGATCGAGACCATCCTGGCTAACACGGTGAAACTCTGTCTCTACTAAAAATACAAAAAATTAGCCAGGCGTGGTGGCGGGCGCCTGTAGTCCTAGCTACTCGGGAGGCTGAGGCAGGAGAATGGTATGAACTAGGGAGGCAGAGCTTGCAGTGAGCCAAGATCATGCCACTGCACTCCAGCCTGGGCAACAGAGCAAGAGTCTGTCTAGAAAACAAACAAACAAACAAAAAAACCTACTAGGGCAGCCAGAACTCAATAGGTGAGGATCTTGGTGAGAAAAGAAAGATGTGAGGTGAATCTGACATTCTGAGCTTCATTTCCTCTCAAGGCGTTTCCTCACTTAGAAGAATTACAGATTCAAAACCCAAGCTGTGAAGCACAAAGCAGTGGCCAAAAGGTTGCAGCACTGAAGTGAGCTTGCAATGGTTTTATTGGTCTGGGGAATTACAACTTGAATATTAGGACTACAAACACTCGGGGACCCAAGGTCCTGGGGAAAGGGAAAACATATTGAGGTGAACCCCACAATCTGTGCCACTTTATGTTCTTGAGGTTCTTTATGTTCTTACACAAGTTCTTTATGTTCTTAAATAGGTGTAAGAAGGGAAGTCTATGCCTATATATTCACTTTGATGGTCAAAGGAGGCAAGAGGGGGTTGCCATATTTTGTACAGCTCCTCATCCATTGGAATGACAACATCTTGTATATGGGATGATCCACAGGTGAAGTAAAAATGTCTAATGATGTTCAAGCTCTAGAAGGTAGCTTTATATATTCTGTGAAAGAAGCTGTAGGATTTACTCTAACTCCATTCCAGACATTAGGGTGCTAGGACTTAAAACTTAGCGCTTAAGTAATCTGCACTCTCAGAACACTTGGATACTAATAGTTGGGCTGATACTCTTCCCTTTAGGGACCGAAGTGAATCTATATTGTTCACTAGAAATCTCCAGAGCAAATTCCACAAACCTTCTTAGGAATGCTGTTCAAATATTCACACACACTCCCTCACATTTCTATTTACCCAAAAATATCTCATGCTGCAATTTAGGTTCCTGCCTCTGGCTCTGTTCTCCGAAGGAATGGAAAAATACATGCCCCACAGTCGGTGAATAATTATATTTCTACATAGAGTGAGACTCGGTTAGCTGTCCTTTTGGGAATGAAGTTTCTACACACTAGCTCATTCATGTGGAAGATAATCTGTATTTCTCAGAAATTTCAGAAAGTGATGCTGCCTATTTGCAGCTGCAATGTAATTTCCATTAATATAGGACCAGATGAAGGTAAATACAACTCCTTATGAGATATTATAAAGCCTGGGGGATCTATCTTCTGCTTCTTTTTCCTTCTTCCTCTTCTTTTTCTTCCTCCTTGTTGTCTTCTTACACATGGATTTGTCTGAGATATAAAGTTGTGACCAAATCCTTTCCCTGTTTATCCTGGGCATATAGTGGATTATGTTTCCCAGTCTCCCTTGTATCTAGGCACTGGTAGATGATGTGAGAGCAGGAGGAGACATAGGCCAGGGTATTTCTTTCCTTTTCCATTCCTGTTTGGTACCTTTTTTTGTTTTGTTTTGTTTTGAGACAGGCTCTTGCTCTGTCACCCAGGCAGGTGTGCAGTAGTGTGATCATAGCTCACTGCAGCCTTGACTTCCTGGGATCAAGCAATCTTCCTGTCTCAGTCTCCCAAAGGGCTGGGATATGGTCATGTGACTGAGTGAGGCCAGTGAAATATGAATGTAGTGCATTTACTTGACTTCTTGGAATGGTCCAGAAAATTCCCCTGACTGATCTTAGCTTTCTCTTTCTCCTCACATGCCAGTTGAATAGATAGTTCTCTGCGGACAGAGGAGAGTGGAACAAAAGCCTGGGTCCCTGATGGAGCATGTGGAAGAAGACTGCCAACAAGAACCAGTCCCATTGGACTATGAAGTGAATAAGAAATAGGACTTTATTGTGTTAAACCATTGGGAATTTGGACTGTTTGTCATAGAAGGTAGCCAACTGTGACTACAGAGATACTGGAACCAGGAGCTGTAGTTGTTAGGAGAACACTGACTCTCTGGAAATAAACTGTTTGGGCTCAGATTATGGTTCTGCCACTTACACTAGTTATGTGACCCTGGAAAACTCCCTAAGGATTATGGTTCCAGGATGCACACTGGACTGGAGTATGAAGAAGAAACTCCTATTGCATTAAATCACTGAGAATTTTGAAGCTGTTTGTTATAGTGATGTGCCTGCTCAGATTAAATCAGAGGGCATTGAAGATATGAAAGTCAAGCCATGAAAGACTTCAAGGAAGGGCAGTATTCAAGGTTTAGAAACGTGCAGAAAAAAGCTATTGATAACTTGCCAGTTTTCTTTATTATGAAGCATGTGGACATACTGGTTTGCTAATGTAACATGATGATCCTCTTTTCCTTCCTCCCGGGGACATTTAGATGTTTGCACTGCATCCTGCATGGCCTCTGTTGCTTTCTATAAATGCATTTTTTTTCTATTCTCCACTTCAATCAAAAAAACTAATGACCAAACTGATTACACTCATTCCTGCTGAATGTTTCTTCAGTTAGGCATTAGTATTTTTAAGCCTCTTAATAGCTTTTCCTCCTCTTTTCCAGGAATTCTAATAAATAGGTAGAAGGTTTTCTTAAGACTAAAAGCTGGCTGGAAGGCAGATCTGATGTCCACTGGGGATCTTTGGGGTGGAAGTGGGGAGTATGCCTGCCTTGGCAAATGTCCTTCATTCTCAGAGGAGGCTGCTGTATAGAGGATCTAACCAGATTTTCTCCTTTCCTTCTCCTAGGACCACTTGCCAGCCCCAACTTCTCAGGACTATAAATGCACTCTCTCCTTCCAGCCCTTCATTTAATCTCTTTCCTTCTTGAATATAGCTTGATTCTAACATCTCTAAAAATCTGAATCCAGCACTTCCCTTGTCTTTCCATAGCACTGATCTCAGGCTTGTGACACATGTTCTCTAGCACACTGAGTATCTTTTTAAGCATTTTCTAACTGGGTAAACCTTATGTCACTTCAATTTTTGCTGACTCAGTTTTCTCATCTTACAGTTTTCCCCCTTGGTGACTGGTGTCTGAGTGGGTTCTTCTAAAGTTCATATTTTGAAGTCCTAACTTCCAAGGTCTCAGAATGTGACTTTATTTGGAAATAGAGTCATTATAGATGTAATTAGTTTAGATGAGGTTATTAGGTTGGGCCTTGATCCAATATGTCTGGTGGCCTTATAGAAAAGGAAAATATGGACACGGATATACACAGGGAGAACCACAAATAATCATGAAGAAAGAGATCCACAGGACAAGGAGAGTAAAAGATTGCCAGAAAACAACTAGAATTTAGGAGAAATATGTGGAACAGATTTTTTCCCTCACAGCTCTCAGAAGGAACCAACCTTGCTGACACCTTGATCTTGAACTTCCAGCTCCAGAACTTGGAAACAATAAATTTCATAAATTTCTGTTGTTTAAGTCACCCAGTTTGTGGTACTTTGTTATAGTAGCCCCAGAAAACTAATACAAAGGGGATAACAGTATCTGTATAATTGGGATGTTCTCAGAATTTCAAGAGGTGATATGGTACTCATAGCACAGTGTCTAGAACATAGCATGTGCTCAATATCAGCTGGTACTACTTCTGCTAGTACTTATCTACTGAACATGTCATGTCAATGACACCCTCTGTGTTATGAAGTACAGCCCCATTCTGCCTGCATCCCTGGCCTGGAAGTTTCTGATAAAAAAATTATCATGTTGGAGCCCAACTTCTTGATTAGCAAAGTGTTGCTACATGCAATGAACAATATTAATTGGTCCTTCAGACTGCTTTTCTTTGAGCTAAATAAGCCTTAAATAATTTTCTTAATGGGTCTCAATGCCTTAATTTTTAAATCATCTTTGTAGTGGCAAAAAAAGGCTTTCTAAATTCTTCAGTAATAGAATCTAGAATCTGATGTGCTCTCAGCAGGAGCCAAGTCACCAGTGTAATAAACAGGAAAACCATGTGGGCTATTTATTCTTTGTGTGCTTTGCCAAATCCAGTATCTGCCCTTCTCTGTGCCTCAGAAGCTGACCCATGTGGACCATTTGACAGAGACTCCCTTGGTGACTGGTGTCTGAGTGGGTTCAGTCACTGGGAGGCACAGGTAGATGATGTGAGGGCAGGAGGAGACACAGGCCAGGGTATTTCCTTCCTTTTCCCTTCCTGTTTGGTATCTTTTTTGTTTTGTTTTATTTTGAGACAGGCTCTTGCTCTGTCACCCCAGGCAGGAGTGCAGTAGCATGCTCATAGCTCACTGCAGCCTTGACTTCCTGGGATCAGGCAATCCTCCTGCCTCTCCCAAACTGCTGGGATTACAGGTGTGCGCCCCTGCAGCCCACTTTGGCACACTGGAAGTAGCTGCATCCTTCTATGATTACAGCTCCTGTGAAAACACTTGCATCCCCTATCCCCTTCGACCTAGGAACAGTAAAGGCTTCCTGTTGCTGCTAGTCCCTGGAGGCCTCAACATCTTTTGTTTGCTTCCATACCTCTGCAGGTAACCCTTGCATTGAGACCCCTTCGTCTGAACCACCTGGGATGGATTCCCTTTCTTATCTGTGTCCTGACTGATACATTCTTGAAGTTTAAAGTTGCCCCTCATGCAGATCCTGAGGCAAGCATCGAGTATAAGGAGTTTATTTGGGAAGTACAGGGACCATTGTTAGGGAAGCAAAGATGTAATATGTGAAAGAGAAGAAAGCTAATTAAGGGTGAGCTGGTGAGCCAGTGACTCAGTGTGTGACTGAGGCTCAGTTCTGCTAGGGAACTCTGAGAATAGGTATAAAGCAAGTATTTCCAAATTATCTCACCTAAGAGGCAAAGGAGCCGCCCCCTCCTGAGAGATTAACTGGCAGAGAGCTGCTCTTGGGGACTGTGTTAGTTCACTGAAACCTCCAGCCTATCTTATGCCCAGGCTGTATAGCTTTGCTCAGGATGGAAAAAAGAGGCCTCAGCCCCAAGGCTGCCCATACTGGCAGCTGAGAGCAAATGGAAAAGCTCAATGTCTATGGGTGGCGCTCAGAGAGCATCTACTGCATATATCAAGTCTGCGTATTTTTCTTTTTAGATACAGTGCCAAGATTCTCATTTTTAGGAAGCTTGAGTCACATCATCCCTCCTGGATATCTTCAAATGACACTTTAACTTGTAGTTTATCATTTTCTGTCTAACTTGTAAAGTATTTCCCCTGCCCAATCATGGTCCCTTGTGCTCTTTATTTTTACTGGATTTTATTCTAAAACTCCAATTTTACCATATCATTTTGAATTCTGATTTCCTTCACTGCCTACCAAAAATATTACTTTACATGATGCTCATCATACAGGGGCGTCTTTGGGTATTAACTGGGTCAGAGTTTCTCCAGGTTTCATGTTTTTCAAAAGCATGGGGCCAGACATAGAAATACATGGTGATTTTGAAACCCGCACATCATGGCTTCAGATACGGCCAAACACTTTTTTTTGAGGCACTAGGGTGAGTTCATTTGTCCATTCAATTAACATTTATTCTGTGTCCACCATGTGCCCAGCACTGAGGACACACATAGATGCACAGAATAGGGAATCTTTGTCCCCATGAGCACTCAGAGAAACAATTACCTGAAAAAGCAATGATCTAATTGCACTGGGGTATAAAAAGTGCTTAGATGAAGAGAAGTCAAGAGAGGGAGGTGTGTGTGTGTGTGTGTGTGTGTGTGTTATGTGTGTGCATCTGTGTGTATGTGTGTAGGGATTATCCATTCCAGAATTGAATGCTGGGTCCAGGAAGGCTCTGAGATGTGGGGAAAGGGTTGGATGGATTGGCGATGGTGGGGGCAGGGACTGGGATAAGGATGTGCTAAATATATAAGCAGACACCAAGGTGAGAGAGAGGCCAGAGCCCTTTGGGGAGACGGAAATAGTCTAAAACTGGCCAGAGAACAGCCATGGTGGAAACCAAGGGCAGGTACAGGGTGAAAATGCAGATTTAAACAGAGGGCAGACTTTGCTTCCTTCCTATTTCCAAGCTAGACTTCTTCTGAGAGTCCCATGAGAAGCCAGCAGGAAATGTCTTGCTTCAAACAAATTCTACTTCCCACCCCTCTGCCTGCCTCCCCAACACCACGCACTTTGTGTTATTTAGGAGAGGACAGAGAATCTCTTTAAACTCGAGCGGCTTCTTCAAAGGAGACCTGAAATACCCCAAGGCCTATAAGAACAGAGGGAAAACACCTGTATGTCCACTCAGTTGATAACCAACCCTGACTCAGGTCCCTGGTTCTCCTGCTGACTGCCCATCTGTCCTTGGTGGGCACAAGGCTCCCCTGCTTGGGGCTTCTTTCCTGCTGCTGATAGCATCCTTGTCTGCCCAGTGATGGCCCCTTCCTCTTATCCTCCAAGCAAAGCCAGGGACAAGCAGAGACCAGGAAACATTGGTAATTCCTCCCAGGACACCAAGAGGTTGAAGCTCACATAGCATGAACACAGGATGGGGTGAGGAGTGAGTCAGGGGCACTCCAACACTTCACCTGTGCAGCTCTATGCTTCAGTTTCCCCACTAGCAAAAAAAATCTGGAGTTGTTAAATGTGTTGTCATATGAAACAATTTAGGACGGTGACTGGCAAAAACGTGTGCTATATAAATTCTAACTTACATTTTTCTAGTTAGTCCTACTCAGTGATGATTCTCAGATTACCAAGTGATAGAAGCCTCAATTAATATAAAGTACCACTGCACCAACGTAGTTTCATCACTGCAGATGCAGTGACATTAATGTGGACTCAGTCATATGATTCTAAATGAGCATCCTGAATCATTAGAAAATAGTCCCATCACAATAACAACTTCGTTTATATAAGAGAAGTGATATTTCAAATTGTTCCCAAAGAACCGCCAGCCCTTATTGCCTTTGTTTGTATAATTAACGTCTGTAGTTGAACATTTCTCTCCTCAGGTACTGCTTCATTTGTTTTCTGAGTCAGGAGGTGTCACTGCTCTGCAAACTCCCCTCTGCAGAAACCGTGGGAGGTTCTGTCTGCCACTTCTCAGTTCTCAAACTCTGCTTCAGAAAGAGGAGGAAATAAGGATGCAGGATAAACTCACCAGTCTTTGGCTTCCTTTCATTCTGTGGCCAGCCTAATTGTCTACTCAGCCAAATACCAATTACCTGCATTTGGTGTTACGATGACTTCAATAGCAGATGGACACTCAATTGATTGCAAGCAGACTCTTAATTATTTCTCCTCCTTCACCCCTCTTCTTCCTTTGTGTCTACATCCGGCAGCCTAACTCTCTCTTGGGTTCCCTAACCTCCCTTGCAACTTCACCAAACCAATAATTACTCGTTTCCCTGGCCTTCATGCTTCAAGTGTTTAATGATTTGGAACTCAGCAATGAAACCGCTGATAAGCAAGGGACATCTGCAAATTGGCTTGGAGGAAGCTATTTCGGTAACTTGAACTAGATAAATAGATTATTCAGATTCTAAGTCTTTATCTGAAATGGCTTTCTGATCCTCTATATCCATAATGATTACCTTGGGGTTTGAAGTATCTTGGTATTAGAGTGAGAAGAAGAGTTTAACAGCTAATCTCTCTTAGATATCTCTGTGAATTCATGTGTAGACTCATATGTGCTTATTTAAAGTGTGTATGGAGATAACTGGAACACATCTGGGCTTCTGGGTCATTCTGAGGCACATAATTGCCAAGCAGGCCTGCAGGCATCAGAGCTCATAAGAACATTTACATACAGACACCCTCACATGAAGATCAGTTCTTCTTTGAGGATAACAAGATGCTGTACTCTAGATATTTGAAAAAAACATACACCTCTCCATCCTCACAAAAACAATCTTCTTTGCTCAGCCAGTCAGACAACAGTATCATAAAAATAGGAATTGACTCACTTAGGTCAGCTGATAGAAAAACTGTCAGCCGAACTGTCCCTGGTCAGAAAGGCAAAGGAGAGTGGTGGTCACAGGAAGAAGAATCAAAATGCCCAGTGGAGTTGTGCAGAGGGCAGGCTGACAGCGACACACCATCTAAAATGCCCCCATGTGGGGTGTGTAGTGGCTGCTGTTCTTCAATATGGACTGCTAATTCCCAGGAAGAATTAGCTTTTGATGAAAATCAGCATTGGTCTGGTATATCATATCATTTTTGAAAGAAGAAATATGTGCTTTAGATTGGGTTTCCTCAGAAGACTGACTCTGAGATGAGGATTTGAGTGCAGGGTAGTTTATCTGGGAATTAGTCCCAGGAAGCAATGGTAGGGAAGTAGGGAAATAATTCAGGGAAAAGAAGACTGTCAATGCAAGGTGAGTGAATGAGAAAGTGAGTACCGTGGGCAACTGGGCCTCAATCCTGCTGGGGACCTTCTCTGGAGAGAAGGTAAATGTACCTCAGAGTTGATACCACTGCCAGCCCCTGCTTCCCACCCTGGATCTAGGAAGCTGCAGCATTTGTCCATCAGCTCTTATCCATCACTGGTTTGAGAGGTTTGAGAGAGATTCTTCCAGGGGTAGTCCTCAGCATTTCTTTCTTTCTTTCTTTCTTTTTTTTTTTTTTTTTTTTTGAGAAGGAGTTTCACTCCTGTTGCCAAGGCTGGAGTGCAATGGCGCAATTAGGCTCACTGCAACCTCCTCTTCCCGGGCTCAAGTGATTCTCCTGCCTCAGCCTCCCGAGTAGCTGGGATTACAGGTACCCACCACCATGCCCAGCTAATTTTTTGTATTTTTAATAGAGATGGGGTTTCACCATGTTGGCCAGGCTGGTCTTGAACTCCTGACCTCAGGTGATCCACCTGCCTCGGCCTCCCAAAGTGCTGGGATTACAGGTGTGAGCCATGGTACCCAGCCTTCCTCAGCATTTCTGTCTGTCCCCACACACAGGCTCAGCAGCCAGAGAAAGCCAAGGGCATATAGGCAGGGCAACAACATCTGTGCACCTTGCAGCTGCCTGCTAGTTTCCTAGAAACATATTCTCAGACATGCCTAAGAAGAAATGCACTTGTAGGTGTTTCAAACGCAGGGGTCCCTGAGTTACCAGGATAAAACCCATAGAGTCCCAACAGACATCTGTACCAAAAGAGGAAAGCACTTGATTACTGAGGACACTCAGACGGTGGTGGGAGAGAGTGAGGAAAGGAAGAGCGAGGGTAAAGAAGAAAAGTTGTTATTAGAATTAAAGGTGATCCAAAAAGCTTTAGGCAACTGTCACGAAAATCATAAGACTCTACGGAAAGAAAAAGACTGTCGGTCATTTTTCAACCACCATCCAGTCTGTACCACCTTGACTGAATAGCCTGAACTTGGTAGGGTTTAAATAGTAAACAACCTTATTCCAGATAGGCTCTTTTGCATAGGTGTCCTTTCCTTGCTCTGGACAAAAATTTGTGAAGACATCATGGATTTCTAGTCACGTTTATTTATAATAATCACCTAATTTTAATGATTAATATTCACAAATAAGTCACAAATCATAGTCTATTACTATTATTTACAATGAAAACTACAAATGTACTCCAATAAAAGTCCCTCTTACATTCTTTATATCTAAACAATATTGCCCATTTCTTCACAGAACAATACTTATTTCCTATCAAGAAAACCCCATATTCAGTCTGCAAGTTATTTTTATAAACATTTTTATTTGAGGTCATTAGTTTTGACCTTTGATTTACAAACTTGGTCCTGTTTCCAAAGGATTTGACAGGCAATCACAGCCCTTATCTTGAAATGGGGCTGGTAGTCCCTCCCTCTAAAAGCTTCTAAGATTGCAAAGCCTACCTTATTATGCAGCATCCTGTTTAAGTCCATGTGCAAAGAAATCACTCAACCTGCCCAGGTACATAGTGGTACATACATCACTAATTGTTCAAACTTTGCTGATTATACATTCTTCCTTCCAGAGAATTAATACTGAAGCAATTGCTCACTCTGATAGAGTACTTGAGCATAGTCAGAATTTTTCATGTAAAAGAAAACAGCCAGATATCAGGACCTGTTTCATCAGTATCGCTTCTAACTGTACATTAACACCAAGAAATATTAAAGCCACATTCTTTGTGTGAAAGCAATAAGAAGGTTAAAGATGGCTTTTGTAATTAGCTTTCGAAATTACTTGTTGGCATCACACCTTCCGTATGAAAATGCAAATATGCTCTCAGAATGGGATTCCGGAGTGTTAAGTATTCATCCTCGCTGCTGTATGCATAGGAGTTTATCCACAGAACTTTGGAAGGGTCAGCCACAATTTTATTTCAACTGGCAGTTAGGTTATGTTTTATTCCATGGATAAACTTCTATATAATATAATTTAAATTAAGGAGTTCAACACTAAAGGAATTCTAACTCTCAGTGATTTTTTTAAAACAGATGATTCAACATCATTCATTTAATTAGTTTAGAGGGGAAAATTTGGAAATTAATCATCACCCTAGTTCTTAAGTATTCATGATGCCTTTTCAAATAGTTGTAAAATATACCTTCACAAACTTTGGAAATTTTGGCATTTTAAAAGATTTAGGCATGGTCATGACAAAGTTCCAAAACTGGGAGGAAGGATGTTATCCTAGAATGAGTGAGAGTTCACCTGGGCCAATCAATACCAGCTTGGCAGCTGTGTGAGCCTGATGGACAAATCCTGGATTTCTTCCATCTCCAGTTTCTTCATTAAAAAAAATTAAATAAATAAATACATTACTCTCTCCCCACCAACACACGAACTCACAAAACAAAAAGTCTATATTATGAGTTTACTAAAAGAATTAAATAAAATAAAGTATATAAAGTGACTGCCACAGTAGCAATGCTAGTTTCTCCTCTACCAGCAAATCATGGGTCAATATTATAATATATTTCCACTTTATTCTGAGTGTCCTGCAGTTGAATTGACTTAAGGTTAAGCAAAGAAGAATGGCAACTTTCCTGGTTCCGTGGATGGCAAATAAGTCATTTATGATAAGAGAATACAATTGATCCTTTGTGAAGGCAATTGATATTCCTCTTTCAGAAAGGGGATAAAAGTGGCACTCCTTGTAAATCTGACATTTTTCTTGATAATCTAAGAGTGGGATAAGACCCTCTTAACACAGATGGCAAGGAGAAATGGCTTTGGCTTTTTATTCTCCAAATGCAAAAAGTCAATGCAGAAACAAAAGTTTAATTCATTGTAGTAGTTTCTCTCCCTCCTCCCTTCTGCTTCCATTCTCTCTCTCTTCATCTCTCGTTTACCTGTCCATTTCCATCTTCCCCTCCCTCCCTTTCTCTCCCTCTCTCTCTCTCTCACATGCACATACACTACACAATTTCCCCATAAGTAATACCAATAAAGCCAAAGAACAGTAATTACAGACATTTCTAACTCAAAGAGCCATATAGTTCACATTAGTGGAAACTTGTCAGTAATGTAGAATTTCAATGTAGTTCTGCAGATATATTATGTGTTACTGTATCATAATCATACATTTACATGCTAAAACCAAAAATGCTGTTGAGCAAATAAATTTTGAGTCATATAATAAAGCTCATTAACACTTTATAAAGATACGCATTACGACCAGCTGCCTACAAGTAAGGAATATAACCATGCACTCATAAACACTTTTGAATAAGCTGTGTTGAACAATTTATACTTTTAAAATAATACCTCTATCTAGTTTCTCACTTCAATCTAATGTAAATAATTGGATATCAGTTGTATAAATTTATGATTGTCATAAATCTTTGGAATTAACTGTATATAGAGTTATTCAAATCTCATGGTCTATAGAACCTGCCTATCATCAAGGTCCTTTTTTTTTTAAGGTTTTTCAGGACAAGTTGAATCACATAAGATCTCTATTAGCTAGATGACATTGAATTGAATATAGAACAATATACTACTTACACTTTAACTTTGCACTATAATTCTAGTTTTGATTTTCAATGATATATGTCCAATGAGGAATTTAAGATAAATAAATTGGACTGATAGCTGCAAAAAATCTTATTATATTAAAACAATTTCTGAAGGTCAATTGCAAACTAGAGTTTTAAGTATAAAACGAAAGTCTATATTATTTTTAAATTTTAAGTAGTGAGATACAGTGATGGCCGTGTGTGTGTTTGTGTGTGTGTGTGTTTGTGTGTGTGTGTGTGTGTGTGTGTATTTTAAAGAGGTGAGTTACTTTTTCTGGGAGGGTCATGGGGTATGACTTTGTATTTCCTCTTCTCTCTTTTTGTTAAACATTTTATTTAGGTATAACATGTATACAGAAAAGGGTACAGCTTAACGACTTTTCACAAAGGGAACACATTCCTGAAACCACAGTGCAGTCCAAGGAGGAAAATGCTAGAAGCCTTCCTCAAGCTGTGCCCAAGTAACCAACTCCATCAAAGGCAAAACATTATCTTAGCTTCTCCCACCAGAGATTGATTGGTCTGCTTGATTTTGGACTTAATATGAATAGAATCATTACATCATACAATTCTAAGTGTGTTTGATTCAACATTTTGTATTTGTGAGATTAATTCATGTCGTGATAGGCCATGTTCTTTCTTATTGCTGTCTAGTATATCATAGCATGACTATACCATAATTTGTAAGTTCATTTTACTGTTGATGGACACTTGGGTTGTTTCTAATTCAGGACTTTTAAAAATAATGCTGCCTGAATGTTCAAGTACGTGTCTTTTGGTGACATGTATGATGCATTATTATTGGGTATATACATACCTAAGAGTAGCATTGCTGTGTCAAAGGATATGAGTATATTTGGCTTTAGTAGAGTGTTCCAGTCAGCTTTCCAAAGTGCTCAATTTACACTCCTGCCAATAGCTTAAGAGTTGCTCCACATCCTTATTCACATTTCCAATTGTCAATCCTTTCATGATTGTCATTCTGGTGGGTGTGCAGTGGCATCTCATTGTGGCTTTATTTTGCATTTCCCTAGTGAGTTTGAGCTTCTTTCATGTGCCTTGGCCATGTAGATATCCTCTTTTGTGAAATATCTGTTCAAGTCCCTTGCCGATTTTCACATTAGGTTCTCTTCCTTTTTCTTACTCATTTGATGGAGTTCTTTATAAATTCTGGATATGTCGAACAAACGTACTGAAATGTTTTCTTCCACTTTATGGTTTTCCTTTTCGTGCTCAAAGATGTATTTGATGAATACTTGTTAGTTTAGTCCAATTTACATATCTTTTCCATTATATTTATTACCTTCTATGTCCTATTGAAAAAGTCTTTGCTCCCACCAAGTTCATAAATACATTATCCTGCTTTTAGATTTACGATCTATCTGAAATCGATCTATGTGTATTGCAACTGGAGCTTGAATGGATTCTAAAAAGGGAAATGCAGTGACCTTTAATAACCCTTGCTTCTGAAGGAGAGCATTTCTTAACACTTCCAAGGAACTAAGGTAAATTTGGGAGAAACTGACCCAACAGCCACATTAATTAAGATGTGAAGGTTGGCAAATATCTATTGAAGGAATCTTCCAGTGAATATTATCTCATTAACTACTACTCAAAACAACTGAATAAAAAGGATACTGTTGAGAAGCTATTTACAAAGAAAGCACAATACCTTCGTTTCCTCTGCTGGTAACTCTCAAATTCTAAAAAAAAAAATTCAACTTTTAAATTCTAAAAAAACTTCTAAGTTCTATAAAAACCAACCCTCAGCATATACATGTTTAGAAAAGCTCCATAGACCAGTGTTATCTAGTAGAAATGAAATGTGAGTCATACATGTTAACTTTAAATTTCCTAGTAGCCACATTAAAATTAAATATCAAGTGAAATTAGTTTTAATAATATATTTTATTTAACGTAAGATATCCAAAATATTTTTATTTCAACATATGGCACTAGCCACACTTCAAGAGTTCAATAGCTCCATGTGGCCAGTGGCTACCATACTGGGTAACCCAGCCATAGACAGTTACATGAATACAATGACCTCCTTTATAAATATTACAATTTACATTATCTACAGATCAATCCATTTTATATTCATATGACAGCCACATATTGAAAGAAGAACACAGTGGTTCTCAAGGTGCAACCTCTGGACCATCAGCATAGGTATCACTGGGGATTGGGAGAAATGAAAATTCTTTTGGAATCAGGCTCTCTAGTGGGTGGGTCTAGCAATCTGTGTTTCTGTGATTCTCATGTGTGCCCCAGTTTTCAAACTAGGAATAACAGATCCACATTTTTGTTTTATACAGTGACATTTACTCTATATTACAACATTGTAAATATACTGTCTTGTCTGAAGCAGAAGCATTTTGGGGGGTTATTTAACCTCATAGTCAGGTTATCATCTCACATCTTCCAAATAGGACTGCCCATGGCACGACAAATGGTCTACTACTCTCTGAGACAGACGTGTGGGAGAAAGTTTCTTTTTTCTGTTTCCTGATGATTCTCAATTGCCACAGGCATCTATTACATTTGCAGAAGCAAAGACTTGGACCCACACAGTAATAATCAGAGTAAGAAAATTGTATTATGGAGAAAAGCAAATAACCACTTTCATCTTATTAGCTCTGTATGTAGAAAGTGAATATGTAAAGAAGTACTTGAAGAGTTTTTATTTTTTTAATTTTCATTTTTGTGGATTAGAATATACAATCTGGGAAGATCCAGTTTTACTAGATGAATATCTCTGCAGAGGCAGGGAACTTTCTCCAAACTTCTCATTGCAGTATCCCCAGCACACAGAAGAGCCAGACACCTAGTAAGTTCTCAATAAACATTTGTTGAATGAATGAATGGATAGATGGATGCTTGATAAACCTTTCTCCATGTCTTAGATTCTGGCTTAGGAAGATAAATTAGCTCAGTTGCTGGAAATCCCTTATTATTTTAGCACAAAATGACCTGAATCATCCATTTTCTGTTTTTCAAGCAGCATTCCTCCTTCCCCCAAAAGACTTCTTGCCATCTAAACATTCATTTAGAGAAGGTGCAGATTTTAAGGGAAGTTCTCTTTTGTTAAAACGCGAACTCCATAAGGGTAAAGATGTTTAGTTCACTGTTTTATTTCTATAAGTCAGAACACTGCCCATCATGTAACAGATGCTGAATAACTATTTGTTGAAACAATAGATTTTATCCTTATGAAATTTCATTACAGCCCTTCTCTCTCCCCTCTACACACAACCATGGAAACTCATCAATTTATGTGTTTCTCCATGTTGTTTTACCTGCCCCAAATATCTCCAAATATGCTATTCCCTGTATCTACCTAGCTCCCACCAGTCTTCTAGACCCAGTTAAAGACTTTGGCCCTCTCAGAGAAGCTCCCCAACAACTCAAGGTTGTCTGAATCTTTATGGTTGTGTCTAAATCTCCAAGATTCTACTCCACTTAATCCAACACTTGTTAGCTAGCATGATGTCTTTCATTTACTAATTTTGCATCCTTGTATTTCATAATCTTTCTCTTACCATATAGACTTGTGGCTACTTGAAGGCTAGAACCATGGAATACATTTAGTTTGCTCATTAAAAAATCTTCCCCATACCTTTATTAGTCTGTAGAACATATTAGGCATAATTATGACTTATTTTAAAAAGGAAGCTTTTAGACAATACTTCTTGTCCAAGAACAGTCTTAGTTGACTATTGTTAGGCTGACATAATTATTAACAGCTCTCCTTTTCACTCTCAAACCAGTCTTGGTTTGGACAATACACATTTTCCCAAGTTATGGCCAACATTGATTTAGTAAAACATTGACTAATGTTTTAATACAATAAAATGTTGACATGGGCTAATTGACATTAGCCCATGATGTTAGTACTGTTTGACCATATGATGAATTTGACACATACAATGCCTTTTGCTAGATACTATCTTTACTTATTTAGATTTGTAAAAGGAAGAAAAAAATCAGATAGCATTACAAGTGGGAGAGGGCTTGATTAATCTTATCAGAATCCTCAATATAATGCTTAGAAACCTTTCTGAGAATAAGAGGGAAAAGTGGTATAACCCCTCAACTATATACTCTTTTTCTTTATTTGAACTTTTAAAGCCTTTTCACACATGATTTCCTTTGATGTTTACAACACTCCTCTTAAGTAGTTCAGGGTGGTAGATACTGGTATTTCTTTTTAGACATAAGGAAAAACAACTCCATGGAGTTATACTCTTTGGCCAGCCAGAAAGAGAGGATAGTATAAATCCCAGTGCTTTCTATTGTAACTGTATAGCTCCTTTTCTCCCCATGAATGCATGATCTTTAACTTCTTTCCCATAACTAATGATACTTATATCCATTTCCCAATAAAAAACAAACATTAATTACAAGAATCAAAAAGCACTTCATCTAAGGAATGTTTGCAGACATGCCATTTGGTTTGCTTTCTAAGTCACAGGGCTAAGAATGATCATACCTCCCATTCACTTCACACTGGACACTTTGTTAGGATGCCTTTGGCTTTGTTTCATACCAAACTTAAGGAACAGACAAAGCATGGATTTCACTTTGTTTCACCCGGAGCTCAGAGAGGTTAAGAAGTGAACTCAGGACTGCACTGCTGTCTATAAGTGATGTAGCTAAGCATGATTTAAGACACCTGATTCCTACCTAGGTCAAGTACCTTTGATTTTGACCAGTGAGAATTCCATGGAATAAAATGCCAAATTTCCCATGAAGCTTATTGTAATGAGATATAACTTGATTTTAAAACACAGAGATGTAACAACTGGAAGTTAACAAAATAACCATTTTTAAAATTTTTCCTATCTTTCCTGCACTATAAATAAGCAAGTGAAGCACTTTATAGATTCTGAGTTATTTCCATGTTTTCTATTTTGAGTAGTGATGTTTGAATAATGTGGAGATAGAGGAAACTTTGAATTAGGAACAAATCCTTAAAGAACGGTCACAATGCCCTCCTCTGCATCCCCTGTACTACAACCAGATCTCTGCTTGCTGTCTTTTGTGTCCTATCAGCTGCAATAAGCCACCACTATTTACAGGTTGTTTGAAATACACAGTCCTGATTGTAATATTAGAGGTCTTTCTAGCTTAAGGGCTCAGTGAATGTTTCCCCTTCTTCAGTTACTCCTTTGGTTTTTACTGCAGATTCTCCTTGTCTCACTTTCTGCCCTAGAGAGCAGATGCCAAATAAAATAGGCTGGGAGCTTCTTTTAGGTACTTTCCAATTGCTTCCTTTCAAGGCTGCACTTACTCATCCCCCAGGTATGAGAAACAATCTGTATGGAAACACCAGTTCCTAGTAGTAGAGAAATAGCCTTGGGTGTATATTTTCTTCCCCTCAGTCTATTCCTTTTGAAACTTGAAAAAAAAATATTAAGCTTATGAGGGAAAAGAGAAGGGTTATTTTGCTTCTTGTTTTTTTTTTTTTTTTTTTTAATTTTATTTGCAGAGACTAGGATGCTCTGGGGAAGATGTGAGATCAACATATACATAAGTAATGCTCCACAAAGAGCCACTCCTTCAAGCTTGGTAGGAATAAAAAAAACTCTACATCTCTGTGATAGATAAGGAACTTGTATTTCACAAGTGGGAACCTGGAGGACTTGGAAAAAAAAGTGAAATATCGTGTCACATGGGGAATCAGAGTGCCTTCCTCTCTACATGCATGCATTTGTGATGGAGATGTCTCAGTTGGTGAAGGGTTGGAAGGGTGGACCTTCAAGCACCCGGTCCCCTCATGCCTATGGCAAATGGGGATACTTAAGAACCTCCTTCAAATTACTAAGCAGTTACCCCTGAGCTGCAAAAGGAGACAGTTAACTCAGCATATCAAACTAGTTTTTTGAGTTCTAACACCAAAGATTAATTTTGCCAGTTTTTGAACTCCTTATAAATAGAATCACACATACATACATTTTTGGGGAGTCCAGCCTCTTTTGCTCAACATGTCTGTGATTCATCCATGTTGTTGTGTGTATCAACAGCATGTTCTGCCAGGCACAGCGGCTCACACCTGTAATCCTAGCACTTTGGGAGGCTGAGGTGGGAGGACAGCTTGAGCCCAGGAGTTTGAGACCAGCCTGGACAACATAGTGAGAACTAGTCTCTACAAAAATAAAAGAATTAGCTGGACGTGATGGAAAGCACCTGTGGTCCCAGATACTAGGGAGTCAGAGATGAGGGGATTGCTTGAGCCTGGAAGGTTGAGGCTGCAGTGAGCTGTGACTGTGCCACTGCACTCCAGCCTGGGTGACAGAGTGAGACTCTATCTCAAAACAAAAGTGTGTTCTTATTATTGCACAGCATTCCACTGAATGAATAAACCAAGATTTCTCATTCTTCTGTTGTTGAACTTCTGGCTTGTTTCCAGTTTTGTGTTACTTTGAATAGATCCATCATGCACTAGTTTTCCTTGGGTATACACTTAGGGGGGCTATTGCTGGATCATAGTATAGGCTTATATGTAGCTTTAGATGATAAAGTATCCACTAGGCTGTTATACCAGGGAGAAGAAAATCCCAAGCAATAAAAGAAGCAATCAAAAGCAAAAATACCTTAAGACAGAAAAGTCATTTTCCTTGACACAAAATAATCCAATTGCCAGTGCAGATAGGATTTGCATTTTGAAACTCATCCATCTCAAGCTACATGCTGCATATTTGAACTTGTCTGCAGGCTAGATTCAGCACATAGGGCGCCCCAAACATGTTTTGTTCCCCCAGAAAATCAGGTCACTTGTTGTTTGCATATTTTTGTTTTTTAATAAAGCAATGTTTAAAAATTAGGAGGTTTTATATTAGAAAACTCTAGCTTTCAAGCTTCCTTTAAAAAACTGGAATATCTGGCCCACATTCCCATAGAGCAATGATAGATTGGAGATAGGTAGGAGCCATTGCATTTACACAGGCCTACGTTTCCCTCTTTAAAAAGTTCTCACCCCCTGCCTACTTTGCCTTACACCGTGTGGTCTCCACAGGCATGAGAACCCTGCTCCGCCCTTTGACGAGTCAAGCAAAGTCATTCACATTTCTCTCTATATATATAGAGATAGCAGTTCCAAAAATGAAAGTGTTCTGAACTGTTAAAAGTTTGTCTTTGTGCATGTCAAACTTTGAAACGTGTGAAAATATTCCTGAAATGTACCACTTACTATCATGTTTCTAAAAAATGACTAAATAAGAGGGACAGCTCAGTACATGTTGAATGTGAGCGTTCCATAAATAAGGAATGTGTGGAGAGGGGACCAGCTGAGCTTGCCTCTGACTAGAGAAACGTCACTCAGGATCTATGCCCACAGGCCCAGTCTTCTGATCAATACCTGTTAACCATGTGAAAAAGATACTGCACAAGAGATAAGAATACCCCTCTGATTCATTCAATTAAAGACTTCCTGGACCAAACTCAATGCCATTATAATTGGTGCACTGGGCAGTTGCTAATTGCTCTAAGTCATTTTCAGGCAAGTAGAGAGACAAAGTTATTTCATTTTTGGTAGTATGCAGTCTAGGTAATTTAAAGGATCCCTATGCTAAAATGCAAATATATCCTGGATACATTTATAAAAAGGTCAATTTTGATGGCCTGGTATGGTAGCTCATGTCTGTAATCCCAACACTTTGGGAGGCTGAGGCAGGAGGATCACTTAAGCTCAGGAGTTCCAGAGCAGCCAGGGCAACATAGCAAGACCTCGTCTGTACTAAAAATATAAAAAATTAGTCAGGTGTGGTGGCCTGCACCTGTAGTCCCAGCTACTTGGGAGGTTGAGATAGGAGGACTGCTTGAGCCCAGGAGCTTGAAGCTGCTGTAAGCCATGACTGTATCACTGCACTCCAGCCTGCACAACAGAGAGACCCTGTCTCAAAAAAAATTTAAAAAGAAGTAATAAGTTTTGCTAGGCTCAGTAGTTAGTAAATGAAATATCCGAGCTTCCCTCCACCTTTGCCCTCAAAAATAAATGACAGAGAAATGACACCAGAGAAATGATTTAGGAATTAAACTAATGAAAATGACTGGGTAGCTCTAAAGGAATATGATGATAACAACACTGCTCTAAAGACAAAGCCTAGGCCCTGGGCAATGGGAGGCAGAGCAGCCAAGCCTGAGAGTCAGTCCCTAGCGTGGAATCCCAGAAGACAGCCAATGTTTCTGACTCCTAGAGAACACAAAGCAATACTCTCCATGGGAAAACATCCCCAGTAGAGGCCCTAAGGATTCCTGCATGCTTGCATCAATACTCAAATATTACCCATGACCTGAGGAGCTTTGGTCACCCAGAGCCCCAGATGACCAAATAACAATCAACTGGTTTACTGTACCGATTGTACATCATGTATTAGAATTAGCAGGTAGATATGCAATCACGATGTGTAAAATGTACAAAAAATTAAAAACGGAATAAACATGAAACATGAACATGAGCTGACTGCCATGGTTCCTTTGCCATCTCTGAACTGACTTAGATGTGGAAACCTATAAAGGGCCCGTGATATTCCATGGTTTATAACCCTTCAGTTGTTCTCCCCTGTTATCCAAACTGCAGATCTATTAGCTGCCCAGTTATTTTGTCCCAAAGATTTCCAGGATCTCTTAGCCACTGTTAGATCCCTGTGGCTCAAGGCACCCTGACTGCCACTTTAATTTTGCTATGCATTATAGTAGTTAAGGCCACCTGACCTCTAACACTAAGCACTGCTACTTAGCCTCTGTTGTTCTGGGCCTCATGATCCCAGCAATATTAGGAAGATTAACTCCTGGACAGCTTCTTCAAATGTCAATCCCAGCCCATAGATGGCAGCCTTTACAGACCACCTTCTCAAAGGTGTCAGCACTCCTTTTCAGGATCCCTTATTGTCTTTGTGAAGGGAGTGTCCTCTGGGCCTTCTTAGTTAGAAATAGTCAAGTGATAGATTGTACCTAAAACCTTTTTAACATGCATTCTAACATCCCTCCTCTCTGAGCCGTCAGACCCTTTATTGAGACTGTCAAAGAACTTGTGGCATTTCCTCATTTGCTGTAGGCCATCAGAACATACAGGATTTGAAGAACCACCCCAGAAAACTATCGGGATCAGCTCCAAGTGTCCTTGACAAACAACTGAATCTTGACTTATGAGTGAGTGTCTCTATATCAATGAATACCCTCTGATCTAGCATTATGTTGTATGGTGAATGTACCTGATAACAACTACTTAAGCATATGCTAAGAATGACCCTGTATGGTGCACCTGAATGCAGTTGGGAATTCCGAGCTAGGGAATCCAGGAGTGGCCAACCCAGAGAGCTATTCCTTTTCTATGAGGAACATCTGGGCCCCATCCTGTCATGTGGAATGTGGGCTGTGCAGGGGATTGAGGCCCTGTGTTTTGGGTTAAAAGGTTGCCAGGTGGAAGTTATTGGGGGAGGGTGCTAAGTGAAAATGCTACATAAACTGTATGCTTTTTGCAAGTGTTGTGGTTCTCCGGTCTAGCTCACCACCACTGGACTCTCTCCCCTGTATGTAAGACCTTCATGAGACCCAATGTCTTGTTTCTGGCTCTGGGTCTCTTCTTCTGCCTCTTGAACTTGGTGCCATCCCCAGTGAAGTCAATAAGAGTTCAGCACAACATATATCCCCCCCTCCACTCTAATACAAGGTCCACTCCCGGGTGGGTTTCAAGGTACTTCAATTGTTCAGTGGATAGGCTATTTCCCCCTGGAGAGGGCTGATACTTCTCTGCTGAGTCTACACCCTAGTTATCAGCATGGAGGCAATGAGCAGTGGCAGAGAAAGATCTTAAGACATGCAAGAATTATCTCATAAGGCACCTGCTTCAGGTGAGATTCCTACATAACTGTTGGGCAAGGAAAGCTGTTCTTCTCTGTCAGAAAAAGAAGGATGACGCCTGTCTTCCAGGGTGGTTTAAGGGAACTTAGAAGTTTAAGGTCCTCAAGCTCATCCATCCAAATGAACTCATCCCACGTCTCCTTATTCCGAACATGGCCCTGAGTTTGAAACAGAAGATTTTACAAAGCTGTGTATCCTGTCTCCTTGGCAGCCCTACCAGCCTTATAGTCAGATCCTGGGCCTGTGTTACAACACAGTCTGCCCTGCAGTGACCAGAGATTAGTCTCCTTTAAAGTAGCCATAGATGATGTCCTCTGGCTTTCAGAGCATGCCTTAAGTTGGCAATGAACCATCCTCAGCTTAACATTTTCTTTCCGCAGGTCAAAAGTAGCCATCTACTTCACAATCTGCATAATTATCAGTGCTCTAATAGCCACTTTGTGTTGCAGCTAGTAGGCCTCCTAACACCTGACCTTCCACTTAAGCCATTTCCCAATTTACTGCAGATGAGAGCTTAAGTAATTGTAATGCTGCTGCCTGCCTGCCAGGGTTTATTTTTATCCCAATTTACCACTAAATATATGATCCCTATTGCTTTCAGACAGGTCAGTAATCAAATTCCAAAATCCTATCTGTAGGGTATCTTGTCTGCAACTACTTGTTTTAGTTCAGTTTCCCTAGGACACTGAACCTGAGACATGCACTAAGCGCTGAGGTTTTAATTGGAATATGAAATCCAAAGGTGTGAAAGAGAAGAGATAGGAAATGAAGCAGGGAAGGGTGAGCAGCAAGACAAAGTGAGACGTTACTGCTGTGACCACTGCATTACCATGAAGAAATACAGCCAGTGGTCCAGCAAAGCATCTGCTATGTGACACGCAACACCTCTAAACATGCTGGACAGAGACATGCTGTATAGGCCTTGAGAGAGAGAGATCGTCAGAGAGAGAAATGGAAATGGAATTTACCTGCCCTGCTACCTTCTCTTTCCCACAGGAGCAAGACGCTCTCAACCAGGTACAATCTTGTTCCCTGGGGAAACATTTGGCAAGAGGTAGTTTTATGTCTAGAGGCATTTTTTATTTTCATTACTTGGGGGTGCTATTGGCACCTAGTGGGTAAAGGCCAAGCGTGCTGCTAAATGTGCTGCAAGGCACAGGACAGTATCCCATGGGAATTATGCAGTCCAAAATGCCATCACTGCTGCTGTTGAGAGACCCTAACCTAAGTACTGGAAAAATCAAGAAAATCTGAAGAGATAAATGAGATGTGTCTAATTAAAAAAAAAATGGAAAAAAGATGAAAGATATGGAAGGCATTTCACAGAACAGAACACACAAAGGGAAAACTAAACATGAAAAGATGCCAAACCTCATTAGTAACCAGGGAAAATCAAATTACAGCAAGATTCCATTTCACACTCAATTGATTGGCAAAAATTAAGATATCAAGAACACCAGGCATGAGGAGAATGGTGTTCAAAGGGAATAGTCATATACCACTTGTTGGGAGTGTAAATTGCTACCAATTCTGTGGGAAAGAGGTTAATATGTATTATGTTGTAAAATCGATCATATGTGTATTCAGGGTGACCACTTATACCATTTTGATCGAGACTGTCCTGGTTTTAGCACCAAAAATCTTGCATCCTGGAAAACTCCTCAGTTCTAGGCAAACCGAGATGGTTGGTTACCTATACATCTTATATCCTAGGAATCCACTTCTACATATACTTCCTTGAAACACTCTTGCACAGGCACCAGGAGAGATATAAAAAATGATCATACTACCATTTTTCATAATAGCAGATAATGGAAACAACAGAAATATCAATCTATAAAAGAACAGATAGATTGTGATATATTAACACAGTGTAGTATTACTTAGCTGTGAAAATGAACTACAAAAGTTTCCATTCTGCCTCTGAGGAGCTTGAGATGCTAATATTAGCCTGTTAAACTTCACAGTAAAATCTGCTGCACCTGGTGATTTGGGCGAGCTCCACACTTGCAACACAGACCCAGGAGTACAATGAAAGTGGCTAGGGAAAACTGTAGAATAGAGCTGCTATTCAATTGACACAACTCAGTCTCAGAGTGGAGAAATCCATGAATTGAAAATTACCATCTCACATACATACTGCAGTGGAAACACACACATGCACAAATCTCTATATAAATATATCTCTAACATCAGCAGTCTTCACAGAGACTTGGCCTTGTGAGAATCTAGAGCCTCGGAATTTGCTTGTGACCATAAGTCAAACTCTTCATTCGTTTTCACAAAAACCTACTCACTATGCTTAGCACGCTTATAAAAGTTGTCCCATAGAAAGAGTTTCTATCCTGCAATCTGCATCATCACAATAGCTCCCTGAAGCCACAAACACAGTCACATGCTGAAAAGTTATTTCCTTCAGGTCTGCTTTCAACCACATTGTTTTCTTCAATCACTTACAAAGGTATTTCCTCCTTCCTTTCTTGTTGAAATAAATACACATTCTACAAACTCTTTTTTTTTTTTTTTTTCTTTTTAAGACAGGGTGTGTTGCTCTGTTTCACAGGCTAGAGTGCAGCAGTGCAATCCTGGCTCACTGAAACCTCTGCCTCCCAGGCTCAAGTGATCCTCCCACCTCAGCCTCCCCAGTAGCTGGAACCACAGGTGCATGCCACCATTCCTGGCTAATTTTTGTTTTTTCTTTTTTTTTTTTGCTGTTGTTGTTTGTTTTGTAGAGATGGGGTTTCGCCATGTTGCCCAGGCTGATCTCGAACTCTTGAGCTCAAGCAATCCACCTGCTTCAGCCTCCTAAAGTGCTGGGATTACAGGTGTCAGTCACCAAGCCCAACCTACAAATTTTTTTCTAAGAGATAATCTTAACAATTTTGGTAACCCTATTACCACACCTGACTGTCCAATCAACCATACATTCATCCATTGACCTAACTTTGTTCATCTTCCCATTTGTCTGTCACTTTTTCATAAACATATTATTCTGTCTGCAAATTAACTTTTATTTTCTTGAATTCTGGTACATTTTACATATTTCTTGTCTTTAATCCTCCTCTCTCTCCCTCACCATTCCCAAGTAACCTGACAGCATTATGAAACACTATATTCCTATGTCTTTAAATACATACTATCCTGCTGTCTTTTCTTTTCTGTTCTTTTCTTTCTTTTTTCTTTTCTTTTGAGATAGGGTCTTGCTCTGTTGTCTAGCCTGGAGTGCAGTGGTATGATCACAGCCTATTTCCCAGGCTCAAGTGATCCTCCCACCTCAGCCTCCAAAGCAGCTGGGATCACAGGCAGTGCCACCATGCTCAGTTAATTTATTTTTTGTAGAGATAGCATCTATTTGCCCAGGCTGGTCTCAAACTCCTGGACCCAAGTGATCCTTCTACCTCAGCCTCTTAAAGTGCTGGGATTATAGGCATGGCCCCCAGCCCCTTCTTGTTTTAAATTCTCTTCCAATCTTATTTGGCTAGGGAATACCTACTTACTCTGTAATCTTTTATTCAGATGTTTTCTTCCCGGTAGATTGTTTGCAATCTAGTTCTTCTTTTTCCTTTATCAATGTCTTTTGCAATGTGACTTTGAACTCCTCTAACCAGGAGGTACAGTCTATTTCCACATCCCTTAAATCTGAGATATTCTGTGAATTTCTTTGATGTATATGTTGTAGAAGTGATTGTTCTGAGGCCAGGTCTTAAGCAGCCGTGCATCCTTACACTTATTCTCTTGAATAAGTGATCCACATGGCTCAGTTGCCATAAATAAGTCTTGGCTAGCCTGCTGGAGAAGTGAGTTGCCCTAGCCACATCCAGTCAAGCACCAGACATGGGAGTGAAGCATCTGAGACTATTCAGCCCCAGCCAACCTGTCAGCAGACTACAGAGCAAACCTAGCTAAGATCAGCCAAGCTTAGTCCAAATCAGTAGAAGTCCCCAACTCACCCACAGGCTCCTGATCAATAACACATGCTTATTATATTAAGTCACTGAGTTATGGGGCTATTTGTTATACAGCAACAAGTGATACTCTTTTTACTGATCCTGTTCAATAGCTACAACATACTTCTAGTTTAGCCCTTACAATACTACAGTCTTTTGGTCTTTCTCTTCCATAAACATAGAACTCCTTGGGAACAGGAGCAATTTTTGTTTTGTATCTCAGAATCTAAATAGTGCCTGCTGACTTTTTAATAGATGAGTGTCAGAAAAATGTCAATGATTAATTAGTTAATTAAGGATTACACTGTTGCCTAAGCCAAGGGACCCTTTTGGAGGCAGACAAACTCGGGTTTGAATCTCAACTGTATTTCCTATGTTACTTCAGATAATTTGGTTAACCTTGATGAGTCTTGTGTGGTCATCTCTAAATTAAAGACCGGAATAACATACATTCTGCAAGATTGTGGTGATTATATATATATAATCATGTATAAATATCTCCCACCTGACAGAGGGGATATCCAACATATAAGAATTAAATCATAAAATGCATGTAAAGCATTTAATATAGGACTTGGCTTCTAGTTGCTCAATAAATGATAGCTCTATTCATATGATCATGATCATCACCATCATCTTTGTTGTCACTTCTTGTAGCAGAAACTGTAGGTGCTCTATCCTCATCTCATTGGCAGTTATCATCATTGTGCAAGTTGACCTGATGGTGGCTTTCAAAAGCAAACATCTGGGACTCTGCCTGAGGACTTCCTCTGGCTGCTGGAGTTTTCTTGGTCTACATGTATGGCACGTTACAAATACCAGGGAGTCGACACTCCACACCTCCACCTAAGGGAGCAGCCCTTAGTCGAGACATATGGGAGAAGATAGCTAAATACCCTAATTTCCATGCCCTTGATTGGGATAAATCCAAGTTATGTTCTATGCTGTATCCCAAAGTTACCTAATGTGATTGTACCCCTCTTGATCACAGAAACAATAAGGCACCTTTTCTGTCTTCCTTCCTTCCTCTGCTCACATCCACACTACCCTACAAACGTATGCTGGCATCACCTCTGAATAAACACCACTCCATTTTTTTTGTTTCACTCTGCTTCTGGGGAAATCAACCTAAGGCACCATTACTCTTTCTAGTTCATGTTAGTCTTGTTGCTTCAGAATCCCATCATTTCTTAAGGAACTTTGACTTCCATTTGAAAGGCCTAGCCTTTTAATGATCTCTCCAGCTAATCAAAGAGTTTTATCTAGTCCAGTGGATGACAAGACTAATCACAGAATGGCGTATGTCATTTTTAGGTCTTCTTTGTTTTCATCCTGACTCATTTCTCTAAGTATATGAGGAAAGGGTTAACTTGTGCACTGGTAGCTCTTTGCTTATGTTGATGGGCACCTGGAAACATGGTATTGATTTTGGCCATGTCAGAGGTGAAATGTACTAGCTAGTGATTTATAAGGTGCTGTGAAAAGTCTAAAACCCCACCAGCATCCTGTACCAGCTTGTCCATGCTGTTTATCAAAATTGTACTGATTGATGGTTTGCACCTGTTTACTTCTTAACAAAGCTTGCTTTTAGCTACCTGAGCTGTGTGGTACAAAATACCCCTCAGTAAGCTTGAGCCTTGGCCCTCCTGTGAACTTGTAGAGTCTCATGTGACTTTTTAATTATCCAGCACTGTATAATTGCTGCACTGGGTCTGTTTTCTAACGACAAAAAGCTTTACAGAAGGATCTGGGGTGGAGGAAGGAAGAATTCCTACACCATACAAGTTTAGAACAATTTCAGACAGTTATGAATATTGGAAAGCAAGCTGCACTTTGCTGAGATCTTAAAATATCGTTCAGTTGAGCTATCATGAAAAACTCTTCTGAGCACAGACTTGAGGGTTGTCCACCCTCCAACAGTAGCTGTTGGCTTCTTGCAAATTTGGACCTACAAGGTCATTGCATACATTTCTTTTCCTCTCTTCCCTACCCTATGGACATTGCACAATGGTTACATAATACAAGATGTGAAACCCTCACTGCACAGAGGATAAGTTTCTCTGGTAACCATTGCTTGAATCCATATATTCTCATCTTTTTAAAGCACCAATTTGAAATTGGATTTTAATTTTCCCTTCAACATTCCATCTATGAATAACCCAGTATAAAAGTTTTAGTGTTGAAGTTATGCTTGACTAAGTCACTAGTCCTTAAAAAACTCTTGTTTCTCATCTAGAAGGACACCCTTCCCACAGGCTGCCTCTCAGTGGCTTGAGCAACAATGTTCTTAGAAGTCAGGAGCCATCCAGGAAGCAGGAGAAGAGCTACAAACACATCTGGAATGCTCAAGTCTCCGAGTGTTACAAGATAACCCACCTAGAATATGAGATTTTGGGCAGAATTTTCTTTATTTTCACAATTTGACATCAACACCCTCTAAGTTTCAGAAGCAGGCCACAGACATATTACATCATAAGCAGTTCTTTGAAATAGTAGAATAAATTACAATCTGACCATTGTGTATTAAAACGCAAATAGACAGCATACCCTGCATATGGAAATTAGAATTATATTTGGAGCTTCATAAGGAGCTTGGGTGGTCATCTATGCCAAAATATCTTTCAAATTCATCCATCTCCAATGCCACATCCCTAAGCCAAGTCAGCAGTATCTTTTATGTGGGTAAGAGCACCCTGCGTGGGGGGTAGTACCCATGTGTGGGGGGTAGTAGCGACCCCCACACATACTAATTGGCTATAATAAAGAAGAATGGCCTTTAAAAAATATAAATTCTTTCATTCACCTGCTAATGACTTTCCAATAACTTCCATCTTTATTAAAATAAAATGAAGACACTTTCCCACATCTAAACAGCTCTCCAGCTTCATCTTCTACATCCTGCTTCTCCAAAGCCCCTCTCTTAAAGTGATACTGGCCTGGTTTCCAAACCTTGAATATATCCACATGGATCCTGGTTCATGACACATGGACGGTATGATCTTCAAACCCTACTTGGCTGGATTTTTTTCTATCACTCAGTTCTCAGCTCAAACTCTCTAAGTGTTCTGCTCTGACACTCAAACTAAAGTAGTCCCTCATCCCTTATCTCGTTAACCTGCTTATCGTGTTCATAAACATTATCAATGGTTGTCAGTTTCCTTTTCATTTATTTACTTACACTTTCCACTAGAATGTCAGCTTCTGTAAGGCCATAAGCTTGCCCTTTTAGTTTCCAGTGCCTACAACAGTTTGCAGGCCTATAGCAGTCACCCAGAGAATATTGTTGAATCAATACATGCATGTTTCTGTGTTTTTAGTATTGTTTAATTTAAAATACATTTTAAAAGGACAAAACCATAAGGTAATTTATTCCCCTACCTTTATATGATGGCTGTGGATGAATTAAAGACTCCAGAGGAGTGTGGCTATTTCTATTCTGCAACTTTTCGCTGGTGCTTGTCAGTCTTCTTCATTTTTCCTCAGTGTTCATTTTAGCAAGAGGTGGAAGCATTTCACCACAGTGTATTTCTGTAACAATATAGTACCAAAATGACTCAGAACCCCACTAACATTATGCTGTGCTTAAAAATAAACATATAGCCACATTTACTTTACATTCTCCCACATGCAGTGCATTCTTTTTTACTGTTTCTATCATTTTCTCAGGCATGCAGCTACGGATCTGTATATTATTACCAGGACACCTCAGGTAGGATTAGACTCCTCTTAGTACCTTGGCTGCTTCTGTACCACAGCATTTTCTCCACTGTGAATAATTATTCTATTACAAATCCATCTCTCCAATAGATGGTGAACCTTGTGGGGCCAGGAACTGTGCCTTTGGTTCCTGAATCTCTGGGACCTAGCCCACTACCTGGTAATCGTACATTTTCAATACAGTCAATTCTTGATATTTGCAGTAGTTATGATTTATGAAGTCACCACAAACACTAAATTAGCAAATACCAAAGCACTGTTACTAGGAGAAATAGAGGGTTAGGTTTCCACAACTCTGTGGCTCCAATATTTTTGTCAAATAATCAATACATAACTTTGTTTTATGTGTGTCACTGTTTATACATATTGTTGATTTATTAAGATGGAACTCACAATCAACAGCACTGTAGCTTATGCCTCCACAAAGATTTTCTAACACACGTGTTTTCTCCATAAGGCACGTGACAGCCTATTGTGCTTAGGAACATGAGACAGCATGTCAGCCCTACACTATGGGGCCATTTCAAACCATGGAAACACCAACATTAAGCACAAAAATGTAAAAGATATGAGAAGGTGAATCTGTAAATATAAAATCACAAATAATGAGAATCAACTATATACATATTGGCTGAATCACAGTTATATGCGGATTATACAAATTCCCAACCTTGTTTATAGTTCAGCATATCCTTGCCATTTAAATGATTAAATAATAAATATTATAGATAGGGTAGAAAAGGACTACATACAGATTTTATATTCTTCATGAAAGACCCAGGAAATGAAAGCAAATATTATTTCTTATATTCTCTGCTGTCCTATTAAAAAGACAAATTCCAGCAATCTTATCAAAATATTAATAACATTCTTTGCAGAAATAGAAAAAGGAATCCTAAAATTCATGCAGAAACACAAAAGACTCCGAATAACTAAAGCAATGCTGAGCAGAAAGAATAAAACTGGAGGCATTAAAGTACTTGATTTCAGTTTATACTACAAAGCTATAGTAACCAAACCAACATGTTACTAGCATGAAAACAGGCATGCCGATGAATAGAACAGAATAAAGGTCACTGAAATAAATCCACGCACTTACAGGCAACTAATTTTGCCAAAGGCTCCAAGAACATACATTGAGGAAAGGACAGTCTGTTTAATAAATGATGCTAGGAAAACCTGATATACATATACAGAAGAATGAAATTAAACCCTTCTCTCTCACTATATGCAAAAATCAACTTAAAATTGATTAAAGACTTAAATGTAAAACCTAAACTATGAAACTACTAGAAGAAAACATTGAGAAAACATTACAAGACATTGGTCTAGGCAAAGATTTTTGGGGTAAGACCTCAAAAGAATAGGCAAAAAAACCAAAAGTAGACAAATGGGATTACATCAAGCTAAAAAACTTCTGAACAGCAAAGGAAACAATCGACAAAGTTAAGAGACAATCTACAGTATGAGAGAAAATATTTGCAAACCATCCATCTGACAAGAGGTTAATAACCAGGATATATTAGAAACTCAAACAACTCAATAGCAAATAATAATCCAATTAAAAATGGACAAAAGACCCAAATAGACATTTCTCAAAAGAAGACATACAAATGTCCAACAGGTGTTTGAAAAAATGCTCAACATCACTAATCATCAGGGAAATGCAAATCAAAACCACAATGAGATATTATCACACTCCAGTTAGAATGGCTATTATCAAAAAGAAAAAAAAATAACAAATGCTGGCAAGGATGCAGAGAGAGGGAAATACTTGTATGCTGTTGGTGGGAATGTAAAGTAATACAGCAATTACGGAAAACAGCATGGAGGTTTCTCAGAAAACTAAAAATAGAACTACCATACAATCCAGCAATCCCACTGCTGAGTATATATCAACAGAAAGGAAATCAATGTATTGAATAGATATCTCCACATCCATGTTTATTTCAGTGCTATTCATAATGGCCAAGATATGGAATCAACTTAAGTTTCCATCACTGAAAGAATAGATAAAGAAAATGTGGTATATGTATACAATCAAATACTATTCAGTCACAAAAAGAAATTAATTTCTGTCACTGGCAGCAATACGGATGGAATTGAAGGTTATTATGTTAAGTGAAACAAGCCAGGCAAAGAAAATGTTCTCACTCACACATGGGAGCTAAAAAAATGTAGACCTCACGGAGGTAGATGGTAGAATAATGGTTTCCAGAGACTGGAAAGGAAAGTGGGGAGCAAGAGAAATGAAGAGAAGTTGATTAATGAGTACAAAAATATAGTTAGATAGAAGGAATAAGTTCTAATATTTGGGAGTGCCATAGGAAAATTACACTTAACCGTAATTTACTGTATATTTCAAAATAACTAGAAGAGAAGAATTGTAATGTTCCCAACACAAAGAAAAGGTAAATGTTTGAGGTGATGGATATCTCAATTACCTTGACTTTATTTTCACATTGTATACATGTATCAAAACATCACATGTATCCCCAAAATAGGTACAATTATGACATATCTATAAAAAATGAAATCCCAGAGCCCGGGTATTTTCTTCTGCATGATATTAATTATTGCTCCTCCAATTTTCAGAGAAGTTCAAAGAAAATTTCCCTGAAAATAATTGTAGGTTAATAGTTCGCCTTGTCTATTATAGGTCAACCTAAATTCCTAGAAAATTTTTCCATTTTTCTCCTTGGATGAGATAAGAAATAACAGCTTTTATTTCATTATATGCACCAGTTATCTGCAGGTACAAAAGGTCCATACTTAGTTCCTTGTATTTTCTGTAAAAATGCAACTACTCTGTGAGAGGTACAATGGAGAGATCACACTTTACATGGCTATTTTCCAGTGCATTTGAAAAATGTTTAAGACCCCCTTAGAATATGAATTTATGTTTTAAAGGTGTTGTGAAGATTTTCCAATTAAGTTTACCTCTCAATATTTTAAAATGGTTACCCTTAACATTGATTTACTTGTACTTCATAGGAAGTAATTTGTTGCTAAAATTATCTTCTACTACAAGGCTATAGTAACCAAAACAGCATGGTACTGGTACCAAAACAGATATAGACCAATGGAACAGAACAGAACCCTCAGAAATAATACCACACAACTACAACCATCTGATCTTTGACAAACCTTACAAAAACAAGAAATGGGGAAAGGAGTCCCTATTTAATAAATGGTGCTGGGAAAACTGGCTAGGCATATGTAGAAAGCTGGAACTAGATCCCTTCCTTACACCTTATACAAAAATTAATTCAAGATGGATTAAGGACTTAAATGTTAGACCTAAAACCATAAAAACCCTAGAAGAAAACCTAGGCAATACCATTCAGGACATAGGCATGGGCAAGGACTTCATGTCTAAAACACCAAAAGCAATGGCAACAAAAGCCAAAATTGACAAATGGGGTCTAATTAAACTAAAGATCTTCTGCACAGCAAAAGAAACTACCATCAGAGTGAACAGGCAACCTACAGAATCGGAGAAAAATTTTGCAATCTACTCATTTGACAAAGGGCTAATATCCACAATCTACAAAGAACTCAAACAAATTTACAAGAAAAAAACAAACAACCCCATCAACAAGTGGGCAAAGGATATGAACAGACACTTCTCAAAAGAAGACATTTATGCAGCCAACAGACACATGAAAAAATGCTCATCATCACTGGCCATCAGAGAAATGCAAATCGAAACCACAATGAGATACCTTCTCACACCAGTTAGAATGGCGATCATTAAAAAGTCAGGAAACAACAGGTGCTGGAGAGGATGTGGAGAAATAGGAACACTTTTACACTGTTGGTGGGACTGTAAACTAGTGCAACCATTGTGGAAGTCAGTGTGGTGATTCCTCAGGGATCTAGAACTAGAAATACCATTTGACTCAGCCATCCCATTACTGGGTATATACCCAAAGGATTATAAATCATGCTGCTATAAAGACACATGCACACGTATGTTTATTGCGGCACTATTCACAATAGCAAAGACTTGGAACCAACTCAAATGTCCAACAATGATAGACAGAATTAAGAAAATGTGGCACATATACACCATGGAATACTATGCAGCCATAAAAAAGGATGAGTTCATGTCCTTTGTAGGGACATGGATGAAGCTGGAAACCATCATTCTCAGCAAACTATCACAAGGAGAAAAAACCAAACACCATATGTTCTCACTCATAGGTGGGAATTGAACAATGAGAACACTTGGACATAGGAAGGGGAACATCATACACCGGGGCCTGTTGAGGGGTTGGGGGAGGGGGGAGGGATAGCATTAGGAGATATACCTAATGTAAATGATGAGTTAATGGATGCAGTACACCAACATGGCACATGTATGCATATGTAACAAACCTGCACATTGTGCAGATGTACCCTAGAACTTAAAGTGTAATAAAAAATATGTACATAAAAATCAAAATCAAAGAAAGAACATGCAGTAGCTGAAAAAAAATATCTTCTCAAAAGCATACCCTAAAACTTAGAGTATAATAAAAAAAAAAAAATTAAAAAAAAAAAAAGCATGCTCTATGTTTTAAACTATTATTGCTAGGATCACTAGGACTTAGTAAAAAGCAATGCCTTACACAGGCAACAATAAATTCTAGAAGGACAGTTCTGACAGCTGCTTTTCAATTAGTTCAAAATAGGCTAAAATATAAGTAGATGTAATTTCTTTTCTGCATCTTTTGATACCCTATTCAAACAGTTCAGAGTATCAGCAGACAAGTCACCTGTCATGGAATACAGTTTTAAAATTGATATAATCATGTGGGTCTACTGCATAATAATAAGATAATTCAATATATTTGACAGAAGTAATACTTTGATCCAGAAAAATAAAACTAAATGCATTTTGTAAATTTCTGTATTTTGTTAGCATCATTATATTACATTTTCTATATAATTAACCATTTTGAGTTTATTTTCTAAGGATTCGTACTACTTTTAATTTTCTATTTATGCTGCAAATAGCCAAATTAATCAAGTAAATATTAGATATCATAAAATTACTTTAAGACATTCTCAAATCATCACTAAAACTCTCCTCTCATATTTCTTTCTCTTAAAATATGCCATTAAGAAGACTTTACCCATATATCTCTGCTAAAGCCATATTACCATTACTGACTTTTAAAAAGCAATCTGGGGGCCAGGTGTGGTGGCTTACCCTGTAATCCTAGCATTTTGGAAGGCAGAGGCAAGCTGATCACTTGAGCTCATGAGTTTTGAGACCAGCCTGAGCAACATGGCGAAACCCCGTCTCCACAGAAAAATACAAAAATGAGCTGGGTGTGGTGGTGCAGGCCTGTAGCCCCAGCTACTTGGAAGGCTGGGGTATGGGGATGGCTTGAACCTGGGAGGTAGAGGTTGCAGTGAGCTGAGATCATGCCACCGTATTCCAGCCTGGGTGACGGAGCCAGAACTTATCTCAAAAAAAAAAAAAAGAAAGAAATCTGAATGCTGAATGTTTAGTAGACTATGTTCAGATAACAGCTATACCATTCTGAACATGTTGATAATGCATATTTTAACAAAAGGTACAGATGTCAATTAAATTTAGAATTTGCATTTCCAACCTTCAAGAGGAAGGAGTTGGCTTCGTATCCACAGACTGGCTCCACCTTTTACTAGCTGCACGATTTGAGGCAATTTATTATTCCCTGAGATTATTTACTCATCTGAAAGATGGAGATGAATACCATTTTCTATAAAATGGCCTATGCAGAGTACCTGGCCAATAATGAATAGTAAAAAAATTAGCGTGCATTTTTTACCAAGTACAAAACCATTCCAAGCAGCATTTTAGTCACCGAATTTAGCTCTTCAAGCCAAAAATCAGTGACCTGATATCTGCGAATAATTTGATAAAGAAACAAACAAGCAAACAAACAATCCTAAATGTCCTAGCTAAGCATAACTAAGTTTTCACATAAGTTTATGCCATTTCGTTTTGTTTTCTTGTTTTGTTTTGTTTTTGAGACCAAGGACCAAGTCTCATTCTGTTGCCCAGGCTGGAGTGCAGTGGCACCATCTTGGCTCATTGCAACCTCTGCCTCCCAGGTTCAAGTGATTCTCCTACCTCAGCCTCCCGAGTGGCTGGGATTACAGGTGCCCGCCACCATGACTGGCTAATTTTTGTATTTTTAGTAGAGACAGGGTTCCGCCATGTTGGCGAGGCTGGTCTCAAACTCCTGACCTCAGGTGATACACCCGCCTCGGCCTCCCAAAGTGCTGGCATTACAGGTGTGAGCCACAGCGCTCGGCCGCCATTTTGTACTTCATTTAAATAGATTCTCTGGACATTTTACTCCTATATTGGGGATGTTGGAAATCAGATGCTCATTCATGATATGCATTCAAAACATATAACAACTGCATTACAAATGGCACCTGACTCTGAGATATGAGTATACTATTAGGCACATTGGTAAGTGACCAATATCAATAATATATTCATATCTCAGAGTTAATGAGCCTTCTTCTGTTTTATATACCATAGAATTTTAGAGTTTAAAAACTCTAAAATTTAAACTTTAAACATTTTAAACTCTAAAATTCTATGGTATATAAAACGGAAGGAAGATTTACTATCAGCTCTACTAGTATAAACAGTCTCTGCATGCTTTTTTCCCCTCCTCACACTCAAGGATGGCAGCCCCTTATGCAAATACATTTCAAGGTAACTTAGAGACTGGAAGGGTTCCATCAGATCTGCAATTTAGAACGGCTGTTGTATTACTCACCCTTTCATCCACTTTTCCTTGTACCCAGAGATGCAATTTTGTGAGTAGCAGGTTTGATACATGGTCTGTGCCATTATGTTAGGAAAATAGCATTTTGTCCTCCCTTTATGGAGAATGGGCTCAAGACCTTGTCCTCATTAATATTGAGTTCTAGCCAAATAAACTCCAATGGGTTGCAAAATCATGAAAGATGCTAGATCCCATTAGATTAAAACCTTCCAACAACTCTGAGACATTAGATTAAGAGGAGAAAAATAATAAACTGAATTGAGAAAACTCAACATACAACATATTTTTTAACCTATTGTCTTTACTAGGATAGAACCTTTCCAAAAAAAATTAATATGGATCATCTTTCTTAGAAATATGTCTTCATCACTCTGCCAATTTTTCTTTGTGTATACTTTATAACACGGATAATTTTAACACTTTCAGTTAGATGCTGCATTCCTCATCCAGTAGGTGAACTCCAAGTACACAAAATCATTCCATTACCGGGTTTGACAGTGTAAAAGCCAGGCAGAAAACAAGCTGGCAGAGACAGTTTAATATAAACCTCCTCTGAGGATTTGAAAACAACATCACATTTGTTTCCTGCTCCTCATCTGCCCCCCTGTGATCTTTGTCTCTATACATGATAAAATATTTATAGCCAGAGCTCAGCATTTTTTCTTTCCCTTCACTGTTGGAATAAGGTATGTTCTGTGTCCAGAGGAGAAAGCAACATAATAGAAACTCTAAAAATTGAATAAGTAACTTTTGGTGCATAGAAAACCTAACCCACTCACAAATGGATTTTCTTTCATTCAAAACAAGAAAACTATGACATACGGGACTGCATTTTGGCAGAAATTATTTATGCATTTGTCCAGTGAAGGAAATCCTCTCTAGAGAAAATTCTCAGAGCATACAGAACAATATTCTGTTTGGGGATTTCTCCAAATACAGATTGAGCACTATTTTATTTTTCTTTTCAGGTAATAATAAAACTCAGTTTTTGAAAACATCTTCACCTTTTCCTACAGGAAAATATCTGGTTTGAGTTTCTGGCCTTTTTGAGACATTTCCTTTGAGACAATAGAAGAATTGAGTTTCTAGGACTGTGAACTATACTATTATCACATTACTGCTTTTTTTTCCCCATTTAGAGAGCAATTTATAATGTGTTGGCTTTTATTTTTGGAGTAACTCTTCTTTACACTGAAAAGCCAAGTGAACAATTATGTTTAGATATATTGATTTTCTGCTCCAATAGAAAAAGCACTTACAGCTTGTATTAACTAGATGACCCAGGTTCTAGCCCATTGTGTTTGCCTTGTAAACTTAATTGACTACATTGTTCTGCCTCTGGGCTTCCTCATCCTAAAACCAAGGTAATAACAGGGTGTACTTCCTCTATAACACCTACTTACACAATTTTCAGAGGATTAAATACAATGATGTATGTGTGAGAACTTTAGATACTGTAAGGTACTACACAACATTAGGTTTAGAAAAGCTATTTTAATTCCTGTGTTTAAGTTATATGGAAATTAACTTAAATTTAATCTGACACCTAAAATGGTAAAAGATAACAGTTTACAACTCCATTGTAATGTCTTTGGAGTGTGTGAATTCACTAACCTTCACTTCAATGAATCTGCACCTGTCCAAGCTGATTCTGCTGAGTTTAGATTTCCTAAGACAAAAGATGAGATGGGAGAAGAGTGGTGAGAGAGTTAGACAGAGATAAATGTGCTACTAGGAAGTGAGTTTTTCACCATCACTCTCCTTCTTTAAAACAGGGATTCTTAACTGGGGGTCGTAACTGTCCCTGAGCTCAATTAGATAGACTTCAAGGGTTCCATGAATCTGGATAGAAAAAAAGTTATTTTTATTTTTATTAGTCTTTAACAGTCAATAAATCCCAATAATACTGGAAGGAGCTATGACCAAAAAAACACAAACCCTTTCATATTACAAGTGTTGCAGATGCCTGGAAATATCATGTATACTTTGAATGCACAGCAGTTAGTAGACTTGCTGTTAGATCTTCTTATACTGCAAAATCAAGAAATATATATCACCATAACACACATTTATTTTATTTAATGTTTTGATAGCTCTGTATCAACATTATTGCCTTTTAAAAATAATCCTAGGTATTTTATTTTACACATTAAAAAATTATGTTGCCACTGTGATAATAGCAATTCCACTCCCAGGTATATACCCCAAAAAACTGAAAACAGGCACTGAACAGAAATGTAGTATAGGAATGTTCATAATGATACTATTCATAATAGCCAAAAGGTGTTGTAACAGCCAAATGACCATCAAGAGGTGATTGGATAAATAACATGCAGTATATCCAATCAGTCGGATGTTATTCAACAGAAAAAAGAATAAAGTACTCATACATGCTAGTGTGGATGAACCTCAAAAACATGTCAGGGGAAAGAAGGCAGGCACAAAAAGTCAAATATTTTATAAGTGTACTTATATGAACTATCCAGAATAGGTAGATCCACAGAGACAGACAGCAGATTTGTGGTTACCAGAGACTTGGGAACAGGAAAATGAGGAGTAACTGCTTAATGGGTACAGGGTTTTATTTTGGAGCAATGGAAATGTTTTGGAATTAGATAGAGGTGGTAGTTGCACAACTTTTTGAATGTACTAAATGTCACTAAGTTGTTCATTTTAAACGAGTTAATTGTTTCATAAATTTTATCTCGATAAATATGCAAAATAAAACATTTTGTAAAAATTGGTACCTGGTCTTCTGGAGACTGCCAAAGACGTCTCTCTGTGGCACAGCGAAGGATTAAACCCTGGATATAAAGGGTTTCCCACCATTATATGGGCTCCTCTTCCCGTGGCTCAATCGAAGGACTCGGGCTTGGCATCACTTAACAGTGATCCAGATATTCCTAGCATGCTGGAGTGCTCCCTGAAGGCTCCACAGCTATATAGGAGCAAGAATGTTGGCCAGGTGTGGTGGCTCACGCCTGTAATTTCAGCACTTTGGTAGGCCGAGGTGGGCGGATCAGCTGAGGTCAGGAGTTTGAGACCAGCCTGGCCAACATGGTGAAACCCCGTCTCTACTAAAAATACAAAAATAACTTAGCCCAAGTATGGTGGCTCGCACCTGTAATCTCAGCTACTCGGGAGGCTGAGGCAGGAAAATCGCTTGAACCCGGGAGGAGGAGGTTGCAGTGAGTTAAGAACGCACCACTGCACTCCTAGCCTGGGTGACAGAGCGAGACTCCATCTCAAAAAAAAAAAAAAAAAAAAAAAAAAAAAGAATGTAGCCAGTGAGCACAAAGCTTGCTATCAAAGCCATTCATAGTTTTTGTGTGTGTGTGTGTGTTTAATGTACTTCTAATATTAACTGGGAAATATAGTTCAGAAAATAGAGCATGACTAAAAGCTTTCCAGGTAAAGGTAATATTTAGCTATCACAAAAACTATACATTTAAAATGTCCAGAAGCAATAGACTTTAATATTTCAGTGGTAGGATTTTCCTGTGCTGTCACTTCTCCCATATATCATGTTTTGGAAATATTTTCATTCTAGCTGTAATGCTTCTAGAACTTTATTCCTTTAGGCTATTTTTTAAAATTCAAATATACTTTATAATATCCACTATTAACATGTACCATGAAGAAAGAAAAAGAGCTGGTCTAGAATGAGAGTGACAGAAAATTACTAGAGAAAGAGGTTAAGAAGTTCATTCGAAGGGAAACTTGAATGAACTGAGTGAGTGAGTGAGTGTTATAGACAACAGCAGGGTCAACAGTCATCCAGGCCAGGGAGTTAGCATGTACAAAATGTCATCCAGGCCAGGGAGTTAGCATGTACAAATGTCCTGAGGTTATCAATGTTTATAAATAACAGTGAAGACTTGTTTGGCTGAAGCAGAGTCAGTGAGAAAAGAGTGGTATAAAAACAAGGCAAGGCCGGGCGTCGTGGCTGACGCCTGTAATCACGTGTGATTACACCTCGTGTAATCACGAGGTCAGGAGATCGAGACCATCCTGGCTAACATGGTGAAACCCCGTCTCTACTAAAACTACAAAAAATTAGCTGGGCATGGTGGCGGGCGCCTGTAGTCCCAGCTACTCGGGAGGCTGAGGCAGGAGAATGGCATGAACCCGGGAGGCGGAGCTTGCAGTGAGCCGCGATCGCGCCACTGCACTCCAGCCTGGGGGGACAGAGCGAGACTCCGTCTCAAATAAATAAATAAATAAATTAATTTTTAAAAAGGCAAGGTAAGTAGCCAGTGACCAGACCACGCATGGCTTTTCAGGCTACAGTAAATATTTTGGATTTTATTGTAAGTCCCAATAGAATCCAATGGAAGATTTTTTTTTTTTTTAGAAGGCTTGCTCTATCGCCCAGGCTGGAGTGCAGCGGCGCCATCTCGACTCATTGCAACCTCCACCTCCCAGGCCCAACTGATTCTCTTGCCACAGCTTCCCGAGTAGCTGGGACTACAGGCGTGTGCCACCATGCCCAGCTAATTTTTGTATGTTTAGTGGAGACAGGGTTTCCCAGCCAGGCTGGTCTTGAACCCCTGACCTCAAGTGATCCTCCCCCCCTCATTCTCCCAAAGTGCTGGGATTACAGGTGTGAGCCACCGTGCCTGGTGTCTGTTGGAAGATTTTATTGGTCTTACAATAAAGTCCAATAAAACGAGGAAGCCATTGACGAGCGTGGAGCAGCGGGTGCATGATCTAACTTACATTTTAAAAGTTTCCTTGGAATTGGTGGAAACACTGCAGGAGGGAAAAACTGAAAGTGGGAATATTAGTTAAGAGGCTATCAAGTTTGCACAGGTGAAGAATGGCAGCGGGTTTGCACAAGGGTAGGAGCAGTAGTGGGAACAGTGAGACGTGGTTCAATTCTAGATGTATTTTGAAACTTTAGTTGACTTATTGATGGCTTTGAGGTGCAAGGGAAAGTATTTTGGCCTGAGCATCAAGATGGATAGGAGTTCTATTTACTGAACTGGAGAGAATCAGATTTAAATGTGTTGGTTAGAAAAACCAAGGGTTCAGTTCCAGATGCCATGATAGATTACAAAAATAAAATACGGCCTCAATTCTTCATCTTTCACTGTATAAGTGCTTTTTACCAGGTAACATTGTAGGTCACTCCCTCTCTGGCTCTAGGTTTAGCCATGTGATTTGATTTGCTCCATGGGACATTACTGACATCTCCACATTTTCAAATACTTGTGCATTTCGAACTGTTCTTGCATCTCTGCCATCATGATGAAATCTGTCCAGCTGGCAGGTGCAGAATGAGACACATAAGAAGAGAAGCCATGTGGCCCTGGTCACCCTGGGCAAAGGCAGCCTAGATTAGGGAACGGTCACCTGAGAAGTATGTGCAAATCCAGCCAAATCACCCGAGCTATCTAGTCCACCCACTGCAGTTGCCTGACGATGCATGAGCAAGCCCAGTCTAGATCAGCTGAACCTCACAAGTTTGTGAGCTAAATAAATGTATAAATAAATTTGTGGCTGCTTATTATGTAGCATTTTCATGGCAATAGAGACCTGACTCAGGATGTTTCCTTTTCACCCAAATATGAGTAATGCAATAGCACCTCATGTCAGCCAATCTTAGTCTGTGGGCAACAGAACACTGCCCGTCCATTCTAGATTGCTTGCGCATTACAAATGTAGCAGAAAATTTGTAACAGAAACTGAAGCATAAATGAATGACTAAACCACAAAATCGAGGTTATTTACTTCCACAAGCACATTCCAAAAAAGGCCCAGCTTGGCTGATCCAAAAAAATTTTTTTTAATTTGTAGTTTACGGAGATTTATTTATGTTTTTAGTACCAAAGTATGATATTTTTAAGAGTTATTGTCAAATTTGAGAAACTTCTCTCAAGTGTAAGTTTTCAAGGCACTCGTTTTCTTTGAATTGCCAACCTTCAGCTACTTATTTGTCATCAGTGTCCTCATTGACTTGGTTTTCGATATTCTCTTGCACATTAAGGAACAGAGGTGTATGTTGCATGAAGCCAATGAAGCCAAAAGCTCAAGGCCACTCACTTGTTCGTGGACATTATGGGCTTGGGAAAAGCCCTAGAAATATGTTCACATGGTCATATATCTTTACAAAATGTATCAAATAAGAATTTTTAACAATGACTTTCAGTATCACATTTCTTTCTAGGTGTTTCTTGGAGTTGGGGTAGCTATGGTTATTTGGGGGCTCCAGCTAAGAGGGAGGTTGTTGGCAATGCATTTGGTTTGTAATTAATGGGATATATGTATGTGTTTTGCACTCAATTTCCATTATAGTTCATCTTCGCTAGTCATTCCACTGTAGGAATGGCTTCCAGGAGTTCTCCAGCATCTCCATGTACTGACTCAACCGGCATCATAGCACAAAGATTCAGGATGAAAGAATGAAAAAGACCTAGTATTTGCTAGCACAGTAGCATAATTATAGTAAAAAAAAATTTTAATTGCATATGTTAAAATAACTAAGAGTATAACTGGATTGTTCGAAACACAAAGGATAAATGCTTGAGGTGATGGACATCCCATTTACCCTGATGTGATTATTACACATTGCATGCCTGTATCAAAATATCTGACATAACCCATAAATATATACACTAACTACATACCCACAAAAATTAAAAATTTAAAAAATTTTTAAAATAAAATGGAACACACACACACAAACAAACATGCAGGATGAGAGGGCATATTGCATATAACTGTGCCCTGCAACACTAGATGTATGTGCCTGGAGGAAGTCTGCCTTTTATAAAGCTTCATAAGCCCTGCAACATGGGTGCAACTATGTGCTGAGGATGCTACAAAGTATTTGCAAAAATTTACAGAAATATGGTTTAGAAAATTGTCAAGGTGGGAATATATCATTTAACTGCAATAAGGAAAGATGTTTTGAAGGTTATTATTAAAACAAGAGAGAAATTAAACTTTTCTGCTTTGATTGCATAAAAATAAGACTGTACCATTTTTGGTCATCTTTAAATTTATTTACGATGTAATGGAAGAAAAGCTAAGAAATAAATGAATGGAACATGAAAAAACAATTAAATGATTAAATCAATAAAAATTATTCTTATATCAAGAAGCCCCTTACGGCAAAAGAATTTTCAACACACACCAACAGCAACAATTTATTAGAAGGAAAATTTTGAATAGAAGTAATGTTTTGGTTCTTATTCGATAAATTTAATTAATGAAGAAAAGTGAATCATGAACATGGGGAAATATTTAAATTCTTACAGATTTGACACAAAATAGTAACAAGTATGGAGAGAACACAAACTCGTCGTAGTCAGAACAAGGAAGACATTGATGAGCAACTGGTGATGTATTTAATCAGTTTAAAGAGTATTAAAACTAGTCATTATATGAGTAAATTTTAAATGCACTGATATGTTATATTCAAGAAATGCAATAAAGATTTTCCAAAGTTTGATAATGCTAAAAAAAGTATGTGCCATTACAAATAACAAATTATGACTCCAAAAGGCATTTTTTAAAATTTCAGTAATAAGAAAAAAAATTAATTTGACATCCTAGAGGAAAGGCTGTGTTATATTTCTATTTTCTCTATAGAATGATGTTTCAAAATAATTTTTATATTTAAAGGTAGAGAGATAATCAAAACATTTACAGCCCATATTTGTAGGAGTCAAGGTATTATAGAGGTGGGGTGGGCAGTTTCTTAATAAAGGTACCTTGTCTCTCTGATTTTGTGATGTTTTCATTGTCAGCTTTTTAACTTGGTTATTTGTCATAAATAAGTTTCCCATTCTAAACAAATTCTCACCTAAGTTTGAATCCACAGACACAGCTTCCAAACTCATGTCTTTTTAGGCTTATGGATCCTGTTTGGTGGGCCATTGGCTACTTTTCTTGAATATGATTGCTCAGAAGTTTAAATTTAAGAAGTCAACTGAAATATATATAAAGGACAATCACAGTTCAATTGACTTAGAAACATCGCAGTCAAAAAGTAATAGCCTCAGCAGCTCTGTCTGTATTTGTGATGGCTTGCACACAGCGATTTAACTTCTGGAATTCATCTACCTTGGGTGTTGTGTTCAATAAACTGAAATCCTGATAAGAATAAGTGATTCTAAGTGAAAATGATGTTAACTAAATGCAGGTCAAAATTGAGTACAGGGATTTTTTTTAAGCAAATAAAAGTATAAATAGAACTTTGATTATATGGCTGAAGGGGAAAGGCACAAGGATTTTTCACCAAGTATTTAAAAGTATTAGTGACCAAAGGGGAGGGAGAACATTAGAACAAATACCTAATGCACGCAGGGCTTAAAACCTAGATGACGGGTTGATGGGTGCAGCAAACTACCATGGCACATGTATAGCTATGTAACAAACCTGCACATTCTGCACATGTATCTCAGAACTTAAAGTAAAAGAAAAAAAAGTATTAGCGACCAAAAAGGATGATCAACTATGTATGCTAGACACCAAAGAGGTGTGCTCTGGGATATGATTAATTCAACAGAATAGTAAAAGTGGAAGTTATGAGTTTGGAATGCCTGGTCCAAAGGCTTTGCCAATTAGAATCTTCATAATTTTTAAATCTAGTGCAGTTCCTGAAGTTGTATGGCCTTTGTTTTCTTTCTAGAAATCCTACCAATCTTAGCATTTGAATACAGGGAATATCAAACGTGTATACTTCATTTAACCTACTGTAAATGAGTCATACTTCAACATTTTTCTAATTGGCAAAAAAATACATTATTTTTTAAGAGGTAGGAAAACATAAATTATTTCTGTATTACTTTTGTAATGGCAAAGCTGTAGCAAATTAAATACTATCAAAAGTGTACTATACGGTAAAGGTTGCAAACTGATGACCCAAGGGCAAAATCTTTTCACTGATTAACCAAATCAGTGTTTGAAGTGGGAGGTTTATGATGTCATGTGTTATTACTGGTGAAGTTAACCTTCTTCATTTGGTTAAGGTGGGGTCTGTCACACCATAAAAAGTTACTATATTTTTCCCTTTGCAATCAATAAATATCTTGAGGGTGACATTTAAGATTATGCAAACATCCTGCTCTCTACAAACTTTGTCCCAATATTTTTAGTATCTGTCAGTAGATTGTGTCTGCCACAATTGTTACTATGCTATTTGCCAAATGGTAATTTTCTGTTTCTCTCATTCCTTCTATGTTTATTAATTAGAATTCTTCAGTCAAGGAGAGCTGTCCCTTCTCCCCCATTTATTTATTTATTTATTCAATTATTTATTCATTTATATCACCATGTACATGTGGATATTTATTTTATTCTAAGGGTTATAATGCAAAACTCTTGCATATAATGCAAAATGATTTTATATTTGGTTGCCCCAATTTTTCCAGTTCTGGCCACTTGGGGCTCCTGCATGTTGGTTTCCGTGTCCTGTGTACATGTTCTTATTATTTTTGTGTGCTACCTTCCTTTTTGGCAACACAAAAATTCTGAGCAGTTCTCATAGTTTCCCTGCCCCAGCCATGGACTCAATCACTTCTTCAAGGAGACTCATTTTCTTTTATTGGAGAATGGTGTTTAGAAACCACCAAGATCTGGGTGCTAGGTGCTATAGTTTGAGTGTATGTGTCCCCCCAAAAATTTATATGTTGGAACTTAACCCCCAAGGTGATAATATTAACAAGTGGGGCCCTTGGGAGATGATTAGGCAATGAGGGCCCTGCCCTCATGGACAGGATCTACGGCCATAAAAGAGGCTTCAGAGAGCTGCTTTTGCCCTTCCATTCCTTCCACCACATGAAGACACCGAGATGGTGCCATCGATGAGGAAGGATCCTCCACCAGACACTGAACCTGGTGGTGCTTTGATCTTGGATTTCCCAGACTCCAGAATCACGAGAAATAAATTTTATTGTTTCTAAGTCACCCAATCCCGGGTACTTTGTTATAGTGCACAAATAAACTAAAATAAGAGGTGCGCTGTTTGCTACTGGGGTGTCATTAACTGTAGGTTCTCTCAGAGTTAGGAAATATACATATGTGTACTAACCCATGCATGTGCACACATCTGTATTATAGATAACCTCAATCTAATCACAAGAAGCCTTCAGACTAATCCAAATTGAGGGATATTTTACAAAATAGCTGAATAGTACACTTCAAAAGAGTCAAATTCACAAAAGAGGAAGGAAAAATAACTCAGTTTGCAAGACACTAAGGAGACAACAACTAAATACATTTTGGATCTTGGACTGAACAGAGAAAGGATGTTAATGAGAAAACTGATGAAATCAAACAAGGTCTATAAGTTCAGTTTACAGCAGGAGTTGGCAAACTACAGCCCATGGCCAAATCCTTCCTAGATCTGTTTTTTTTTTTTGTAAATAAAGTTTTATTGGAACACAGATACCTTCATTTGTTTACGCATTGTCTATGACTAATTTCTCACTACAATAGCGGAATTAAGTCGTAGTGACAGACACCTAAAATAGTTCCTATCTGGCTTACTACAAAATAATGCCAATTCTTCATTTATAGTATTGTGCCAATTTAAAATTCCAATTTTGGGTAATTGTATTATGGTTATACAATATGTTAACATTAAGGATGAAGAACATATGGAAATATTTATACCATTTTTTTGCAAGTTTTCTGTAGGCCTAAAATTATTTCATAAAAATACAAAAAAATTAGCTGGGCATGGTGGTGGGCACCTGTAGTCCCAGCTACTTGGGAGGCTGAGGCAGGAGAATGGTGTGAACCCAGGGGGTGGAGCTTGCAGTGAGCCAAAATTGTGCCACTGCACTCCAGCCTGGGTGACAGAGAGAAACTCCATCTCAAAAAAAAAAAATTCATAATAAAAATTTAAAATTTATTTGAATGAGATGCTAACATTTAAAATACAGGAGATTTCACATAAAACTTCTGTTTGTAGTTTCTTTTGAAAAGTTAGGATGTCTGATAATGGTGGCCAACAATCAGAGCAAACTGAAAGTTGGTACCTTTGATTAATGTGTATGATACTGCTGGTTGTTGTCTCAATATCCACTTCCATAGCATCAGAATCCTGATTTTATATAGGCACGAGGTATTATATAAAAGACCATATTTCTCAGTATCTCTTGTACCCACAGGTGGTCAATGGAATGCAAGCACAAGCGTTTTAGTGAGACTTTAGGGAAAGCTCATTAGAATGAGACGGCAGGCTGAATGAGCCCTATTTGATCTTCCCTGCTTCTACTGATTCTTGCCTAGAAAATTGATGTGATGGCTGGAGTTTCAGCAGTCCTCTTGGACCATGAAGTGAGAAAGAACTCATATATCTATCCCCACTGCAGGTAGAGCTCAAAGATAGAAGAAACCTGTGGTAGATTTGCTGTGTTTTGTTTTTTTGTTTTTTTTACATATTCTTGTACTCATGCCCAACATGGCAAAACTCTGTCTCTACAAGAAATACAAAAATACCACCAGCCAGGTGTGGTGATGTGTGCCTGTAGTCCCAGCTACTCTGGTGGCTGAGGTGGGAGGATTGCTTGAACCTGGGAGGTGGAGGTTGCAGTGAGCTGTGACCATGCCACTGCACTCAAGCCTGGGCAACAGGGAAAAAAAAAAAAAAAAAGAGAGAGAGAGAGAGAGAATTGTCTCGAAAAAAAAAAAAGAGAATTAGAATTTTTCAAACAAATGCTAAATCATGTTCTCCTAAAAACAGTCATAAAAATAGACATGTAAAATAATTAGTTATTTATATGATAGCAGATTTTAAAATATTTAAGATTATTTTTATTAAATATATAAGAAGTGTGTATTAAAATATATTAGAAGTGACAACCTATAAATTAAAATACTTAAGAGCTATTAACATTTTATATCTCTAACAAAAAGTAGTACAATTCAAATTGATGTTTTTATATTTACTATTTTTAAACTAAATGCCAGCTTTCATCAATAAAATTACCATGACAAGAGGATGTTTCAACTTATTAGTGCTACTATACTGCTATGTTTTCAGATAAATTTTTAAAAAGTACACTTCTGTGGAACCTTCTGCTTTTAAACAATTCTCTCAGTTACATAAGAAACTTAGGAATGTCAAGCCCTTGCTTTCAATTTAGGTATTTATCATTTCTTCTGCGTCACAAGCCTTTACCAAAAAAGCAAGAATATATGCACGCTTACGAGTGTCTCAGGCTCTGAAGACTCTTTGTAAAAGGTAGAAAGCTCTTGACAACAAACTGGAGAAGCTATGATGATATCGGTGTGTTCTTACATGTCATGCTGACTCCTGTGGATTGAAGGCATACACATACACCACTAAATTGCAGACACAAGCAACCACTATTAGCCCAAGCAAGTGATTTTCTGTTTCACTAAGCTCTGATTGCTGATTTCAAATTCTTGTATGCTGGTTTGCTGTGCTAACCCTTGATCTATTATATAAGGACTCAGCCTTATCTAATGAAAAATGACTGGGATTCACATTTGCCAATGGTTAACAGGAAACGTTTCCCAAAAGCAAATCCAGAGGTTAGATAAGAGAAAATTCCTGTGCTGCCATATTCAGCAAGAAACATCAGTGAGGTCCAGTGAACACTGACATAGTGGGAGAAAGCTTGGGTGGATATTATCTTGACAAGGCTTGATGTATGTAGGGACTGGGGGCTTCATTCACCAACACATTTTGGTTGAGCATATCCCCTTGGTGAAGAAACAAGCTCTAAAGTATCACTGTCTAATAGAAATATAATGTGAACCATAAAACATAATAATATAGAAGGTCTGAAGTGAATATAAAATGTCAAAATTAATAGAACAATTTTATAATCACATTATAATCAAATGTGAGTCACAAATATAATTTTAAATTTTCCAGTAGCTGCATTAAAAGGAAAAATAAAGAGGTGAGTTTAATTTTAATAATGCATTTTATTTAACAAAATATAACCAAAATATCACCATTTCAGCATGTATCAGTAACACATTTTCACTCATTTTTTTCATAATAGGTCTTTAAAATCCAGTATGTGTTTTATGCTTTCAGCACAAATCAATTTGGAGTAGCCACATTTCAAGTTCTCAGTAGCCACATGTGGTTAGTGGCTCCTGTATTGGGCATTCAAGTCTAGAGGAACTCTGTGATTTACTGTGATGGTTAAAGGATCTTTGGAATAGCAATAACCAGAGAGGAAAACAATGACATTTCAAATATAACAGATTAATAAAATTTCTAAAACATGTTGATAGAAATTATACTAGCAAGACAAAAGCTGACACCAACTAGTTGGGGTTTTATTTTAGTTTTAAAATATGCCTGTTCTAAAGCAGATACTTTGCAGTGTAGAGGAAGTATGTTAATGGAAATTGGCTCATTTGTAACTAAAGTACTTTGCAAGTAGACGAATTGTGGGGACATTAAAGTATGCCAGAATAAAATCCATTAAGCCTTAGTTAAAATCCCAAGCAAATAATAAAACACATTTATTTATATTCTGCAGCGTGGGTAATAAAACATAATAATATAGAAAGTCTGAAGTGAATATAAAATGTCAAAATTAATAGCACAGTTTTATAATCAGCTTCCAATGAAAGTATTAGTCTTTAAAACAGAATTCATTTACATGGAAAATTGACATGTAAGGATTTTCTCTTGAGTCAAATGAGCTCATTTAAATGATCTATAGATACATTAGGTCAAATAGAAGGTACAGAGGTCAGGTGGCATGTCAAGCTGTAAAACTTCTAGCCAAAAATTAGTACTGCATCAAAAATGGAAAAAACTCACTCTTCTGAAAGTTTAAGTTAAAAAAAAAGTTTTAACAGCTTAAGTACTCTAACATCAATAAAATATTTCAAGCATTAAGGCTGCCAAATTACCTGATAACTCAGTAATACTTAAAGTGTGCTTTCTAGGGTAAATTTTCATTTGCATTCCAGGAGATTATGAAACAAATAGTTTGTACCAAACATAAATGGAAAAAGTTATGCATTTTTAAAACTTTCTGATGATATATTATGCATGTGTTCATTATAGAAAAATTGGGAAAATGCATAAAAACACAAAGTAGAAAAAAAATCACTCAGAATTCCAGTACTCAAGACATTGTTGACATTTTAGTCTACATCCTTCCAGGTTTAAATTAGCATAATTATTACTGCCAGGTCTTTGTGATAAAATAAACTCATGTGAGCTCTCTTGTAGATCTGATTCCTCCAATAGCTCTGATAATTCCACTTGGTACATACATACCCACACACTTCCCTTTCCTACACAACTGTCTACCCAAGGGCTATAGGGAGTTCAAGGGTTCTCTAATCTTGGATTGGTCTGTCAATATCTGTCTCCTGTTTTGCTCTTTCTCTCACTCCATCCTCTTCAATCATACCCCAACAAAATCCCCAAAATAGTAAGACCTCTGTCTGGACATGCTTTCTTCCAGTTAGCTCTAAGATTTGTAATTCTCCCTTATTTGAGAAGAAATGGTGCTTGCGTAGACACCAATTATCATCTTTGATTATTTAAAACCCTAAAACAGTAGCATAATCTGGAAAAGACATCAACTTCTCTCTCTTACCAATACTGTTGGAACTAGCTGATAAACATAACACTTTGTTTGTATTTTACTGGACACTAATTTGTGTCTGGAAGAACCTACTTTCTCAGAACTAGATTTAAATATTTATCAGGTGTTTAAAAGGGCAGATACTGGCTAGGGACTGGATAGTGAATTATGCATAAATCAGACATGGTCTTTTGACCTCACAGAAGTAATAGTTTAGTAAGGAAGATAGTTTGTAATCAATTAAACAAATGCATGCATAATTACACACTGGGATAAATTCTTTGAAGGCAGTGAATATTGATGTTGAGATGAGATAATACATTACTTTTATTCAGCTTTATTGAGGTATAATTGATAATTTATGTATACATTGTGAATTAATTACCATAATCAAGCTAATTAGCATATTCAACACCTCACATAGTTACCAATCTCTCTTTCTTTCTTTCTTTCTTTCTTTCTTTCTTCTCTCTCTCTTTCTCTCTCTCTCTTTTTCTCTCTTTCTATCTTTTGACAGAGTCTTGCTCTGTCACCTAGCCTGGAGTGCAGTGGCACAATCTTGGTTCACTGCAACCTCTGCCTCCCAGGTTCAAGCAGTTCTCCTGCCTCAGCCTCCTAAGTAGCTGAGATTACAAGCAGGTGCCACCACACCCAACTAATTTTTGTGTTTTTAGTAGAGACTGGGTTTCACCATATTGGCCAGACTGGTCTTGAACTCCCGACCTCAAGTGATCCACCCGCCTCATCCTCCCAAAGTGCTGGGATTAGAGGTGTGAGACACCGCACCTGGCTCTTTCTTTCTCTTTTTAAACAACATTACTCGTCTTAGTTCCTGCCATGATGGCTGGTCATTTGAAAGACTGGCAAGAATTCAGGAAGTTTCTCTACCCATCTCTCCAGACCTGATTCTCTGCTCAGAAGCATACCACTACGGTACAAAAGTAAAAATAAAAATTAAAAATAAAGTCCAAACACAATGATCTGTGTGGAGAGTTCCTACACTGGTTTTAACACATTTTAAATGGCTTCCTAAGGTTGGGTCATTAACATGAGGATGCTCTCCTTTTAATGTGAAGTAGAAATCCTTCCAAAGACCATCATAGAGAAGAAGGTGTCTTGAGGAAGCTTCTGTTAGATTTCCTGTGGTAATAGGTGAATTTATCCTGTTAACTCTACTGTGGGCTTGAAGTTGATCTCAGATGTGCTAAAAGAAAAGTTGTAATCTCAAAGTTTTTGACAGCTTTCTGTATTAGGAAAGTTGAAAACCTGGGGAAATGTTTGGGTCTTTGTTTACAAGAAGCTCTATATTGAGTGTCAGTATATGCAAAAGCAGGCCAAAGGTCTGTTTGGAAAAAGTCAAAGAGCTAGGATGGCCTCCATGGAAGAGTAAAATGAATTTGGTAATGGTGAGTGGGAAATTAAATAAATCAAAAAGGGAATGATAAGAGAAGGGATACATACAGGGAGAGACAGACTAACAGACAGAGATACAGAAATGACATTAGGGAATAGAAGGAGAAACAAAAGAGAAATATGTACACAGAAAGATACAAGAAGAAAGCAAGAGAGAAAAAGACTGATAGACACACACGCGCACATGCACACACACACACACACACACATACACACAGGCCACGGGGTGGGAGTCAGAGAAAAACCCCAGGACCTGCTAATAATTCACACAGCCAGTGAGAATTTCCCTGTAGCTAAAAATGTCTGATGCTTTCAGAAATGTTAATAACCAACACTGATCTAAAAGTTTTCTCTCATTGTGTGTAATAACTACTCTCTGTAAATCTTAATAAAGTCGTCTAGCAAATATTTCCCCTAGCATTAGAGGTGTTTTGCAGAAACGAAGGAAGAGACAGGTAACCAGTCTAGGACAACCATACTGGTGAGAGAAGATGCTATGGGATACAAGAGCCCCAGAACAACAAAAGGGAGAAACAGGTTTCCCTGTGGCTGACTCAGAAGTGGTGAATGAACTGTCATTTGTCAAAATTATTCTTGAGGAAAGTATACAGAATACATAATGCTATGTACAGGAAAAGGATTTTTCATTTATTGAATATTTACTAGCTATGTGCTTTAAAGATCAGATCTCATTCTTTAAAATAACCCTACCAATTGGTTGTAGACACTTTCATTTTTTCATATTAAAAAAATCAAGGCCTAAGAAAGAATTTCCAGGATGTGGTGCAGGGAGGGGGAACCCAGGAAAAGATCAGTTCCCTGAGTTTTGTTGACTGAGCTAAGAGACCAAAGAGACAAAAGGAGCTGGAGTTTTCCAGACGGAGTACCAGAGGGGAGAGCTGGAGAGAGACTGGGGTAGGGGGAAAGTGAGGCAGGAGTGAAAGGAAAAAATAAAAAATTCCAGAGAATCAGAGATTTGTACAATGTCTCCCTCAAGTATTCGACTGAGTAGTGATCAATTCAAGCATGTGAGGAAACTACTTGAGGCTGAGGAAAGAACCACCTAAAACGTTTAGAGGTTACCATGGCCAACCTTCACACAAGGCCAGGAATGGTTTCTGTTTTCATCAGCAAGACTGGAAAGGCCGAAGATCCGTGGACGTTAGGTAAAGTACTCAGGAAGGTCTTGCCAAAATAGATGGGAATAATTACCCCAGATTGAGCGCTGCCCTAGTTGCACTGAAGAAATCTTCAAGCAAGACTAAAAAAACAAAAAATAGAAACAAAAACAACAAAAAACAGCTTCCATGTAACTTAACTGTGTCTCAAAACAAAGCTCAAGAATATTGATAGGACTATAAAAATATCCACCACTGGCCAGGCGCAGTGGATCATGCCTGTAATCCCAGCACTTTGGGAGGCTGAGGTAGGTGGATCACCTAAGGTCAGGAGTAGTTCAAGACCAGCCCAGCCAACATGACAAAAACCCGTCTCTACTAAAAATACAACTTTGAGACATAGCAATAGAAACAATCTATTTTTTTTTTTTTTTTGAGATGGAGTTTTGCTCTTGTTTCCTAGGCTGGAGTGCAATGGCATGATCTTGGCTCACCACAACTTCCAACTCCCAGGTTCAAGTGATTCTCCTGCCTCAGCCTCCCGAGTAGCTGGGATTACAGGCATGCACCCTCACCCCCAGCTAATTTTGTATTTTTAGTAGAGATGGGGTTTCTCTATGTTGGTCAGCCTGGTCTTGAACTCCCGACCTCAGCTGATCCACCCACCTCGGCATCCCAAAACTCTGGGATTACAGGCATGAGCAACTGCGCCAGGCCAATAGAAACAATTTAAAATGAAACACATAGGGAAATGATCTAAAATAAATGAACAACATATGACCAACCTGTGGAACAACTTCAAGTAGCCTAATTTAAGTGTCAGTGGATTTTCTAGTGAAGAGGATACAAAGGAAGGGACAAAAGAGGCATTTGAAGATATAATGGTTGAATAAATTTCCAAACTTAATGAAAATAATGTATCTAAAGATTTAACAAGCCCAGTGAATCCTGTCAAAAATAAAATCAGATCAAATTAAAAATTTTTTAAGTTTATTGTGCATATAAAATAATAGTTCATGAACTAAGTGACCTCAAGCCCAGTCATAAGAGGAAGCTCAGAGGCATGATGTTACAGGCTGGCTTACACAGCAAAAATGGGGAAGTTGTTTAACCTTTAAAATGATGGGTTATTATCATGAAGGTTTCAAGATCACAGAGGATTGGTTGAAAGTGCTCATCTTATACCATCTTTAGAAGGCAACTTAAGATTGGTTTACGATGATCAGAAGTGTTTACAAGAAATAACTTTAAGTTTCGCTTATGTGGCCAAATTGGCTTTGTCTGTTCAGAGAATTCTGAAGTCTGGTCTCCATGTTATTTTATGTTCACAACTCCAGGCACAAGAAACATGAAGAAAATGACACTATAACACATCATAATTATATTGCTCAAAAACAGTGATAATAAGAAAGTCTCAGAAGAAGCCAGTGGGGGAAAATATATGAACAGAGAAAAATAAAGTTGCCATCAGATTTCTTATTAGAAACAGTGCAAATAGGAAGACAGTAGAGCTAAATCTTTACTGAAAGAAAAAAAACCCATCAATCTAGAGTTCTATGTCCAACAAAAATATATTACAACATTGAAAGTGAAATAAAGATATTTTGAGACAAAAAAAAAAGCCTGATGGAACAAATAGAAAAGACATAGCAAGGTGATGGACATAAACTGAACCATATCAATAATCACATTAAATGTAAATGGTCTATACACCCCATTAAAAGACAGAGATATCAGATTGGATAAAAAAGCAAGACTCAACTCTGTGCTGCCTCTAAGGAACACAGTGTATAGATAGACACAAATAAATTGAATTAAACAATGGAAAAGGATAGGCTAGAACTAACCAAAAGAAAGTTGGAATGCTTATTAATATCATAAAACATAGATTTCAGAGCAAACAATATTACCAAGGATAAATTTCATAACAATAAAAGAGAGAATTCATCAAGACTGAACAATCCTAAATGTTTATATGCCTAAAAACAGAGTTTCAAAATACATAAAGCAAAAGCTGACAGAACTACAAGGAGAACTAGACAAATATGCAATTATTATTGAAGATTTAATGCTATCTCAATAACTGATAGAATAAATACAGAGAAAATGTTTTAATTGCAGTAGTAATTAGTAATAATTAAAAAAAAGCAAGCAACCCAACTAAAAAATGGGCAAAAGATTTTGAAAAGCCTTTAATGAATAGCCCTTCATGAATATTTAGAGATGACAACTATACACATAAAATATTTTCCATATCATTAGTCATTAGGAAAATGTAAAATGAAAACAAAATAGAGTATCACTGTGTTCTTATTAGAATTGCTATAATTTAAAAGATTAACCATACCAAGTGTTAGTAAGAATGTGGAGGAACTGGGGCTGGGCACGGTGGCTCATGCCTATAATCCCAGCACTTTGGGAGGCCGAGGTGGGCAGATCATGAGGTCAAGAGATCGAGACCACCCTGGCCAACATGGTGAAACCCCATCTTTACTAAAAATACAAAAATTAGCTGGGTGTGGTGGCACGTGCCTGTAGTCCCAGCTACTTGGGAGGCTGAGGCAGGAGAATTGCTTGAACCTGGGAGGTGGAGGTTGCAGTGAGCCGAGATCGCACAACTGTACTCCAGCCTGGTTACAGAGAGTGAGACTCGGTCTCAAAAACAAAAAACAAACAAACAAACAAACAAAAAAACAATGTGGAGGAACTGGAACTCTTACACATTCTCGGTGGGAATGGAAAATTGTATAACCCACTTTGGAAAACAGTTTGGCAGCTTTTAATAATGTTAAACATATGCCTACTATATGATCCAGCCATTTCATGCCTAGGTATTTACACCAGAGAAATAAAAGCATATTCCCATACAAAGGCTTATATACACATTTATAATAACCTTATTTGTAATAGCCAAAAAGTGGAAACCACACAAATGTCCATCAACAGGTGAATGTATAAACAACTTGTGCTATATTCATACTATAGAGTACTGTTTAACAATAAATAGAATAAAATATTGACACATGCTACAACATGTATGAACCTTAGCATAATTATGCTGAGTTAAGGAAGCCAGAGGAAAAAAACATACTGAACGATTTCATTTATATAAAATTCTAGGAAATGCAACTTAACATACAGTGTCAGAAAGAAGATCAGTGGTTTCCTGGGGACAGAGGTTGGGCAGACAGGAAAAGGCATGAGAGAAATTTTAAAAGGCTGTAATAAAACTTCAGAGTGATGGAGATGTTTGCTATCTTGATTAAATTGATGACTTCATGGTTGTATACATATGTCAACATGTATCAAATTGCATACTTTAAATATGGGCAGTTTGTGTGTGTGTGTGTGTGTGTGTGTCAGTTACAATGCAATAATGCTGTTCATTTTTTTAAGGAGAGTAAACATTCAGTTTTTTAGCTGCAATAGTAACATTTCAAGTGCTTGATAACCACGTGAGGCTAATGGCTACTGTCTGGTCTGTGCAGATATAAACATTTCCATTAATGCTGAAAGTTCTTCTAGACACAACTGCTCTAACTCCTCTACTGTATTTAATAAGTGAATGATAAATTTAAAAAGCACACAGGGATTATTCTTCCTTTCACAAATGCTTCAGGTACTTTATCCAGTATTTACAATACTCTGTAATATATGCAAAGTCTCTCAAATATCATGATGCCACACCACAGTGAAACATTTTTCTTTCTGCAGTTGAATCAACACAAGTTCTTTCTTTGCTTTCTTTTTTTTTTTTTTAAATCACAGCTTGAAACCATTTTCTAAGTGCTCACTGACTTCTCTACTTGGCTAGAGCTATAGAAATAACCAAACATTCCAGCTGCGTAAAATGATCTCTGTATTTAATCTCTCTTGTTATACAGAGATAACAAGAAACTTGCATGCATTTGGAGTGCAACTCATGTTTGTGAAATATATTACTATACTGAAATTGCTGGCTCTTCTAATATCATCCTTAGTTTATGTTATGGGAGTTGAATTTCAAATCACCAGAAATTCAGAAACAGGTACACTAAATTACCTGCCCAAGGGACAGTGCCATTTTTAATTTATGCTATACTTTCTTTTGATTTTTAAATAGTCTTTTCCAAAAGCTAAATGACATCAATTTTCGATATGAACCTGTACCTCTGCCCCAACTTTTTCTCAGGGGTCAGATTAGTGACCTGAGTGTGACTGAATAATCAAACTTTTTTGAATAATCAATAATTTTCCAAGCATAATTTGAGAGAATACAAGACTGACTGGAGGATAGAAGGGAAGTATGTTTTGTTCTCAGAAAAGTCCAGTTACAAGAAAATGCTCAAGATAGAAGCATATCTTCTCACCATGATTCTCAATTTGGAATCAGTTAAGATAAAAGTGAGGGTCAAAAGGCCTAATCAAACTTGGACATCGACCCATGAAAACACAGGTCGTCACTGAAGCAGTCAAAGTCTTTGCTTCTGTCTAGCTTTTCATGCTCAGTTCAGTATCTCATGCCAACCAGAAGCTATATTTGGCAGTTGCACATATTTCATATTTTAGAGGGAGAAATAATTATTAAGAACTCTGGTACAAAGAAATTTCCAAATGTGGAGTCTATAGGGAAAAGGAATTAAAAGCGTTCTTTGGTGGAAAAATGTCGGAGCCACTACTGGACTTTAACAGCAAACACCTTAATTAAGTGTTAATACCTTGGCAGGGATTAGTTGACTGCTGGCAGAGAACAAGGTGCTCGCACAACCGAAGGATTAGAAGGGAGCCTGGCAGCAATGTGAAGGCTCTAAATACCAGGGGCTTATTTGGGGAGTGGGGCATGTCTAAGACAAATTGGTATTCTCTAGAAATGATGTGAAAGGCATTTGTGTGGAGGTGGAATAAGAGGCCTGGCTCTGTCTTTTTGCTATCCCTAACCTGCTAGGTAACCTGTAGATTTGGTAATGCCTCCATCATTCACCCTCCTTTTACCTATACCTTTTGCCATGTAACATTGCAGTGGCTCCCCAAAAGGTAGTTATACTTCTCTACCCCGTGTGACTTGCTTTGGCCAACAGACTGAGCAACGTATTTGTCCTCTAAGACTACATCTTGAGAGACCTATGTGTTTTCTCTTGTGCTCTTGCACCACTGCCCTGAACTTGAGAACGTACCTTGGCTAGCCTGCTGGAAGATGAGAGACAGAGCAGATTCGAGTTGCCCCAGTCTTTTGAGCGGAGGCCAGCCTCAATCAGCCAACAGCCAGCCAAGTACAGAAATGCAAGTGAACCTAGCTAAGCCAAGATCATAAGAGCTGATTCAAGATCAATGAGCAATAAACATTCATGGCAATATGCCTCTGAGGTTTTGTAGTTGTTTGTTATGCAGCATGACTGCAGCAGTAGATAACTGATAGGGCACACATGCTCTCTGAAATGATTGGAAATGAAAGGGTTTAACTAGATGGTCTCTCAGGTGCCATACAGCTCAGCCTTCTGCAACTGAACCAACACAAAGTCTTGGGCTGACCCATCAAAATCTTTTCTCTGTCACCTTAGACATACCTATCACAGAATGCACTGTCAAACTCTACCCCATCAATTGCCTCTAAGTTAACCTTATCTATGCAAAGTCATCTGCTGGACAATTATAATTTACAAGATTTGTGCACTTTACTTTTTAAATTGTCTGCAAAGTTGAAAGACAGGAGTGACAAATTTATGGCTCCATGAGACCCAGTAAAGCTTCCGTTTGCTTACAGAGAATAGAGAGAGAAAGGAAGAAAAGAGGGAAGAAACACAAGAAGAAGGGAAATAAGAAGGGAACAAGACAATCCAATACCTTAATGAATTGTGCACACTCCTTTAGATTACCCTTGAGCCCACCGTTATTTTTCTTATCCCAGCCAATCTCACTCAATTACATTATACACACAGTCCCGGGAGGAATCTAAGTATGTCTAGCACGGTTAGCAATAACGCTTTTGGAATAAGCTTTCGGAGGAATGAGCTCAATATTGCTTTTGGATTAAGCTTTCGGAGGAATGAGCTCAAGTCTCCACTCTCTTGGTTAAGAATGATATGACTTTGGCAAGCTACTTGACCCCTTTTAGCCTCAATTTTTTCATCTATAAATTAAAGATTAATACCTGTCCAGACTACTTCAGAGGGTTATTCTGAGGAGAAAATGTGACAACATCTGTAACACTGATTTAAAAACCCTAACGTGCTTCAGAAAATGTTAGGCTCTATCATGAGGACAGTTGCTAAGGGCAAAGGTCTTTGTTAGGGAAGTGATAAGGTAACTAACTTAGTTAAGACCTGGGGATCTCTCGAGGTCTTGCATGGAATCTTTGATACATCCACTTCTTCAAGCAACACTAAGAAGGATCCCAATGATCTAGCAGAGAAAAAAAAAAACTCCTCCCTCTTTCCTGTCTTGAAAGCAATACTTGGAAAAATATCAGGCTACCCTTGGAAGTAGCTACTCAGGGATCTTGCCTTTGTGTCCTTACTTTAAACCCTACCTTAGAAAGATAAATGGAGGTTGGACGCTAACGGTGGTCCCAAGGTGAACAGATTTTCTTAAGGCACAGAGCAGGGAGAGCTGAATAAGGTCATGTGCTATCCAACCCTCACCACCCAAGGGTATCCAGGTGCCACACAGAGCTGACCTTCTTAGAGAAGATTCAAATAAGGATCCTCCCCCCACCCCAATGTTACTGTGAATCTGTGCACAGCAAGAAAATCAACAGACAGATGGCACTGTAAATATCAGGTGCCAAGTGTACACTGCTTCTTCTATGCAAAAGCCAAATAAAAAGTGAAAGAAAATTGTCTTACTTTTATTATTGTCTCCATACAAAGGTTAACTATGAAACTGAAGCAGATCGGCCTGTAATAAAAATAAGAGCCCCATTATTTCACCCAAGTCACTTTCTCATTAATCAGATGGAAGTGGGCTTTAATTGTTTTAATCTTGTGCAATAAAAGCATCTAAATATCCTATAAATAAATTATACACACTGATGATCACTCTCTTAGCTGAAGTCCCTTAGGCATCTTCAGTATAAGCAAATATACCAATTTCTGTTCAAACTGCAGACATTCCACTCACAACCTTTGCTGTTACATAGTCCTCTTTCATTTCTGCTGTTTTCCCTATATTCCTGTTGCAGAAAACTCTCTCTCTATCATTTCAGGATGGACCTAAAAAAAATTGGTTATCTGGATTTATCTACATACTTGATCTCCAAATGGTAAGGCCTCAAAAGTTCCACCAATATCTGGGTACAGTCATAAGCAAACATTCCTCAAACATGCCTAAAACATAATTCACGTGTAGGAAAAAGAATTAACAGTGGATCTGTCACTTGTTCTTTCCCTCCTTGGGATGTCCCTGAGGATGCATTGACCTAGACAAGAACAGATCTTGTAAACACTGTGATGGGATTTACTAACAGGACGATAACCCAGAAACTTCTCTAAGGTTTTAGCAGGTTATTCCTGGTCTGCCTTGATTGCTTCAGGTAATTAGCTGGAATTTATGAGACATAGTCTGCTGGAGAATGGACTTTAGTCATGTAGGCTCCCTACCTGTGTGACTAATAAAGTATAAAAAACTGGCCAGGCATGGTGGCTTATGCCTGTTATCCCAGCGCCTTGGGAAGCTGAGGCAGGAGGATCGCTTGAGCCCAGGAGTTTGAGACCAGCCTGGGTAACACAGGGAGACATCGACTCTACGAAAATAATAAAAAAATTAGCCAGGCATGGTCTTGAACACCTGTAGCCCAAGCTACCTGGGAAGCTGAGATGGGAGAATCACTTGAGCCCAGGAGGTTGAATCTGAAGTGAGCCATTATTGTGCCACTGCACTCCAGCATGGGTGACAGATAGAGCAAGACTCTGTCTCAAAACAAGCAAACAAGCCAAAAAAAAACAAACGAAACAAAACAAAACAAAACAAACAAACAAACAAAAACAACCCTGAAAAGCCCTAAATCTAAATGGCTTAAACTGAACTAACTTGTATCAGACTCTTAGGTAATGCCTGTCAGTGACTCCTAAACCAAAATGCATCCCAGTGCAGAAAAGGGGATCTTTAGGAAGTGTATCAGAGGTGCAAGGCCCCTTCAGAAATAGACGTTGGAATACTGAGATTGTGCTTATGATTTGCTCATATTTTTTGCTAGTTATCAGTGACATTTCTATGTTGGGTAGGGTCCATGATGCTTTGTGGAACAACAATGTGCTAGAAACAATATCTATTCTTAAAGAGTAAGTAAATATTTCAAGGGAAATGCCCTAATTCTTTGAAGTCTGTGGTGAGCTGAAAATGGCCCCTCAAAAGATATCCACGTCCTCATTCCTGGAACGCATAAGTTTTACCTTACATGGCAAAAACTTTGCAAGTGTGATTAAGCTCAGGATCTTGAGATGTGGAGATAATCCTGGATTATCCAGGTGTACCCTAAATACCATCATATATATCCTTACAACAGAGAGACAGGGTGAAATGACACACAGAGGAGATAGCAATGTGAAGAGAGGGATTTGAAGATGCTGGCCTTGAAGACTGCAGGATGTGGCCACAAGCCAAAGAATGCTGGAATCCACCAGAAGCTGGAAGAAGCAAGGAACAGATGGTCTCCTATGGCCTCTGGAGGAAGTGGGTCCCTGTAGATACCTTATTTTTAGGTCATTGATAATAACTTCAGATTTCTGGCCCCCAGACTGAGAGAATAGATGTCAACTGTTTTAAGCCACCATGTTTGAGGTAATTGGTTACAGTGGTCACAGGAAATTAATACAGAGCCTAAAGATTAATACAAAGTCCTGAAACATCAGTTCATTAAGTATAAACAAAAACCCAAGTAAGCAATATGGCTTCTTCTAGAACAAATAATTTATGCCTAATAGCTCATTCAACTGGCAAAACTGGCTTGTGCTCCTAATGTAAGAGCTAGATCATTTAAGCTCATTATAAACAAAGACTTTTCTGATGACATTGGCATTCCCAGTCTTCACAGACCTTTAAAATAAGTTTAGTAAGTGGATAAATGAGTTAAAATATTAACAAAGTAAGAGCTTGGAATAAACATCAGCAATTATTGACTAAATGGGGGATTGTGGATTGAATAGACAATTGGCAGACCCTTGGGATTATCTCCCTGAAGAAACAGCATCACAGCAGAACTTCACATGAATGAGATGTGTGTGGTCAACCACCAGCTTGAATGATGTTCCACACCAGCTCAAGGTCATGCATGCTGTGACTTCAGCCTATCTCCTCTTGCCTTTGGGGTAATGGTTGACACACCCACAGCCCTCAGCATGGTTTCTTGTTTTGTTTCCACATCACTCTCAAATTTCAAGTTTTGTTTTTCATGCTACTATGATTTGGTTCCTGCTCTGTGGTTTCAGCAAAATCAGCTCATTTTAACTATACTGAGAAGCATCTTGGGAAATGAGTGGTTTAGGTTGCCCATGGTATAAACTGCTGAAAAAATTTTAACAACAGGAGAATGGGGATAGAGAGAGGACAGTAGACAGACACTTCACTCTTTCCAAGTCCCATTTTCAGAGTATGTTCTTAGTATTTGATTTGAGATGAAGCCATCCCCAGTCAAAAGTAAACAGAACATATATTACAAAGCTAACTATAAGTAATATTAATTACCTGACATTGGGGCTCATTCATTCTTTTTCTTCTTTCAATCTTAGCGATTAATTGAAAGTTGTCAGTATCAAGTTATTTCTTACTAAATTGCCATCATTTAGTCAAAAGCTGAAAATGGTGCATTTATCTTTTTTTAATGTCATTTTTGCTGTGAGTGACACCACATCAAAAAGCAATTTTTGCTTTTAATATATGAATCACATTCGACATATCACCAATGTCACAGTTCATCCTCTTAGAACAAGCTTGTAGAACTGTGACATTGGTGACTCAGTTTGTGAAATGAAAAGGGCCACAAAAAGGAAAAAATCCTTTACAGCTATTAAATTAAGCAAATAATAGGTGGTCAATTTAATACCTATAACTCATCTTGGCTAATGAATGGGTTACAAAATGATTAACCTAATTTATTAGTGTTGCAATATTCTGGGTACTCTATATTATTTTCATGCGTTGATCTTACACTTCTACACTAGTGCCTCTTTACCTGTAATGTGTACATGAATGCCTTGGTGAAAGGCAGGTTCTAGCTTTGTAGGTCTGGGGTAGGACCCAAAAATCTGCATTTTAACATGCTTTTGGTGATACCAATGCTGCCACTCCATGGATCACATTTTATGTAGTAACGTTTTAAATGAATGAAGAACAGAAAAATGAGTTAATTCTGCCTAAATCCTCTAAATCTGAAAAGAAAAATGAGATAATAAAAGAAGGGGGAATGCCAATGTAACAACTAAAAAAAAAGAGAAATATGAATCCAGTTTGGTGGAATATATATTGTTTTCTCAGTACTTGTGGCCTCAGCTTTTTCTCCCCTAAAAATCAGTAATCAAGAGAGGATATGCATCAAAGAGAAGAAAGTTTTAAAAAATGACTCAGAGAAAACCCAATGTTAATAAAAAATGTTCCCAAAACTTTCTCATCTCCCATACAGAGAATAAAATCTTCTCTTATCTGGTAATGATCTTCCAAAGACTGAGATAGCCTTTTATTTGTTATCCAAAGGACAAACTTCCCAGACACTTCCCTTTTGGCTGATAGACTTCATACAGCCATAGCCCTGCCCTGCCCCACACACCCTGGACACCTGTCTCTTAAGGCGCTTTCCCATTGAGGGCTGCCTCCATCATGGCAGTGCAGGTCTTGGAACGCATCTTTTCTCTATCACCTACATCCCTGCCCAGGCTTTCTTGTCCAGAAACCGCACAGACATTCCTCGAGCTGAACCAGAAAAGCCAACAGTACCAAATCTCTAACTTTTTAAAAATGTATTCTTCAAATTGACATATGGCTTACTACAATATATACAACATACTACAGTAAAGTGCACAAATCTTAAGTGTATGGCTCAATGAATATTGGCATATTTGGACACCCATGTAACAACAACTCAGACCAAGATCTAAAGCCGTGCCATCCAATAGAATTTTCTGCAATGCTGGAAATGTTCCATAAAAAAAGATAATTATGCACTAATTCATTAGCCATTAGCCACAGTGTTATGAGCACCTCAAATCTCATTAATGTGAATGAGAAACTTATTTAATTAATTCAATTTCAAATAGCCACAGTGGCTAGTGGCTGCCACAGGAACCGCACAGACATTCCTTGAGCTGAACCAGAAAAGCCAACAGTACCAAAAGCAAGAGCAAACACATTCAAAAGCTAGCAGAATGCAAGAAATAACTAAAATCAGAGCAGAACTGAAGGAAATAGAGACACGAAAAACCCTTCAAAAAATTGATGAATCCAGGAGCTGGTTTTTTGAAAGGATCAACAAAACTGATAGACCACTAGCAAGATTAACAAAGCAGAAAAGAGAGAAGAATCAAATAGACGCAATAAAAAATGGTAAAGGGGATATCACCACCGATCCCACAGGAATACAAATTACCATCAGAGAATACTACAAACACCTCTACGCAAAAAAACTAGAAAATCTAGAAGAAATGGATAAATTCCTCGACACGTACACCCTCCCAAGACTAAACCAGGAAGAAGTTGACTCTCTGAATAGACCAATAACAGGAGCTGAAATTGTGGCAATAATCAATAGCTTACCAACTAAAAAGAGTCCAGGACCAGATGGATTCACAGCCGAATTCTACCAGAGGCACAAGGAGGAACTGGTACCATTCCTTCTGAAACTATTCCAGTCAATAGAAAAAGAGGGAATCCTCCCTAACTCATTTTATGAGGCCAGCATCATCCTGATACCAAAGCCGGGCAGAGACACAACCAAAAAAGAGAATCTTAGACCAATATCCTTGATGAACATTGATGCAAAAATCCTCAGTAAAATACTGGCAAACCGAATCCAGCAGCACATCAAAAAGCTTATCCACCACGATCAAGTGTGCTTCATCCCTGGGATGCAAGGCTGGTTCAATATACGCAAATCAATAAATGTAATCCAGCATATAAACAGAGCCAAAGACAAAAACCACATGATTATCTCAATAGATGCAGAAAAGGCCTTTGACAAAATTCAACAAACCTTCATGCTAAAAACTCTCAATAAATTAGGTATTGATGGGACGTATTTCAAAATAATAAGAGCTATCTATGAAAAACCCACAGCCAATATCATACTGAATGGGCAAAAACTGGAAGCATTCCCTTTGAAAACTGGCACAAGACAGGGATGCCCTCTCTCACCACTCCTATTCAACATAGTGTTGGAAGTTCTGGCCAGGGCAATTAGGCAGGAGAAGGAAATAAAGGGTATTCAATTAGGAAAAGAGGAAGTCAAATTGTCCCTGTTTGCAGATGACATGATTGTATATCTAGAAAACCCCATCGTCTCAGCCCAAAATCTCCTTAAGCTGATAAGCAACTTCAGCAAAGTCCCAGGATACAAAATCAATGCACAAAAATCACAAGTATTCTTATACACCAATAACAGATAAACAGAGAGCCAAATCATGAGTGAACTCCCATTCACAATTGCTTCAAAGAGAATAAAATACCTAGGAATCCAACTTACAAGGGACGTGAAGGACCTCTTCAAGGAGAACTACAAACCACTGCTCAATGAAATAAAAGAGGATACAAATAAATGGAAGAACATTCCATGCTCATGGGTAGGAAGAATCAATATCATGAAAATGGCCATACTGCCCAAGGTAATTTATAGATTCAATGCCATCCCCATCAAGCTACCAATGACTTCCTTCACAGAATTGGAAAAAAACTACTTTAAAGTTCATATGGAACCAAAAAAGAGCATGCATCGCCAAGTCAGTCCTAAGCCAAAAGAACAAAGCTGGAGGCATCATGCTACCTGACTTCAAACTATACTACAAGGCTACAGTAACCAAAACAGCATGGTACTAGTACCAAAACAGAGATATAGATCAATGGAACAGAACAGAGCCCTCAGAAATAACACCACATATCTACAACTATCTGATCCAAATCTCTAACTTTTTAAAAATGTACTCTTCAAATTGACATATGGCTTACTACAATATATACAACATACTACAGTAAAGTGCACAAATCTTAAGTGTATGGCTCAATGAATATTGGCATATTTGGACACCCACATAACAACTCAGACCAAGATCTAAAGCTGTGCCATCCAATAGAATTTTCTGCAATGCTGGAAATGTTCCATAAAAAAACATAATTATGCACTGTCTAATTCATTAGCCATTAGCCACAGTGTTATGAGCACCTCAAATCTCATTAATGTGAATGAGAAACTTATTTAATTAATTCAATTTCAAATAGCCACAGTGGCTAGTGGCTGCCATGTTGAACAGCACAGCCCTAGAACATTTCCAGCACCTCAGAAGTTTCTCTCGTGCCCTGTTCCTGCCAGTATCCTCCAAACTTAACTCCTCTTCTGGCCTCCATTACCGCAGGTTAGTTTGGTTATCTTTAGTTTAAATTTATTGTGATTGAAAAACATATTTTAGTTTTTTAGATCTGGTGCTTTATTTGTATGAATAATATGAAAGCAATTAAGAAATAACCCCATAGCTGTGCACAAAAAAACTCAGTATCTTACTTTACTATTGTTATTATCATTGACATTATTATTTCAAATACTTACTAGTTCTCACTTGGCAGTAATTAATTTTTGAAATATCCATTGAGAGCTACCAACTCACATACATAATTCACACACACACAATTCAGATAAAAATATAACCTTCAACTTATCCAGTATTCATTTAAAATAATATAGAGACAGAACTTTCTAATAATCTATAATTCTTATAAAACATATCTGATATTTGAATGTATACAATTGGTTTTATGCCTTTTCCCACTTATGAGGTTGAAAAATCCTGATGACAATGATTATTTAAGATCTGACAAAATACAGAAAACTGTTTTGTACATAGCACCTGTCCAGGGCTCACTCATGGAAAGCAGACGATAAATGAGGGTTCTGAAATAAGTACTAATTTAAATGCTTGTTTTGAAATGAATGTTAATGGGAAGTCATATTATTGCTGTTCCATAGATTGATGTAATCACATGTATTTCCTGCCTTTTATAATATTTATTACCCACTAAATTATTGCTACAAAAAGTAGCCAGTATACAAACTGTTTGTTCTGATCCATGACAAGACAAGGAATCCGCACAAGGATGTAAATCAATTCATTGCTTCCTTCATCAGGAAAGTCTTATGTGAGAGAAGCATCAGCTGGACTACAGTTTAACTGGACTGGACAGGGTGTTGAATGATTTACATGGTAGCCCAAGTTCCATATCTCCTTGCTGACCAGTAACACTCAGTTTGCAGATGGCACACGTCCTCAGGCCAGATTTTGAGCGTCACTGCCTTACGTTATCAGCTCTTAAAAGCTGCATTTCATTAAGACAAATTATCCAAACATTATTCAGTTCTGACTTCTCAGTGTTTTATAGATCCTGGCTGTTTAGTAAATATCCAATAAAATATTTTAAGTAAATAAATTGTTGTTGAGCCACATAGATCTTCAGTTATTGAGTGCATCACCCTTTTTCATTTATGGCCTAAACATTCTACCAGAGGGAAATTACTACTCTCTTGGTGGCAGCAAATGTTTGCCTCCCTGACACCTCCTAACACGTACAAGCAGTATGATCAGACTCAACAGAAATATTGTTAAATAGTCTAATTCTATTTAACACAACTCTGCTTTAAGATAAAAGTGACATCATTTTAAACAGACAGCATGAAGCATAACATTGACGAAGGAGGCTCTAATTTTAAAATTATAGTAATGATTTTTTAAATTAATAAAAGAAGAATTGGAAAGCCAATGCAACAAAACTTTTAAATCCTTCTAAATAAATCCTCTCAATATTTGGGTGGTACTGGGCAACATAATTGTATAAAGCACTATGTATTTGACGAAATACAACTACTCATTATATGGTACTCAAAATGGTTAGCATTTTCTGTTGGAGTGAGTTAGTCATGGTTTTTATGTATAAGCAACCAAAAGTTACCTTGCTTTCTGGAAGAATAAAGTAATTTATGAAATTTATTGAAAGGATAACAGATAGCTCACAGTGTTGCCTAAAGAATAAGGAAGGACCAAAAGAAGCTACAGCAGCAGTAGATTCTATGACTAGAATTCCACCCCAACCTGCCCAATGAGGATACATATGTGCTATTAAGGGCCATGATCGCTTACACTGTAACCACCATGAGTACTGATGATAGTTCCTACCATCCCTATGGTCCCAATTGATACCACCTCCACCAATAAAATGGATTCTCTCCTGCTCCACTTCTTTACATTATAGTCTAGAGTAGGTTTATCTGATTTCCCAAGCCCAGGCCACATGTCTGTGCCCTAGCTACCAAGAAAGTTGACAGTGTATGGCATTTTTGGCTTCTGCAGTCTCCCAAAACAAGTTCTCCCAGCTAGAAAAGAGATTGTAGATATTTGGTAGCTTCCCAAAATTACAAATGTGCACTGCAATGTGTTTCCAAATTAGTCATGCTAAGAGATTATATGAATAATTACTACTGTATAGATATAAATCATTACTAATGTATACAGAATCTATGAGGTAAAAGGTCCTCTAGTGTCTTTGAAACACTATGTCTTATTCAAAATGTAGTCTTATGACTCAAAATATTTTAACACAAACACATTTAGATGCTTTCCATCTCGGGAGAGGCTTTGCAATATTCAAATTCCTCCTCCATTTCTCTCCCTCACAATGTATTTCCCAAGGCCATCATCTAATTAACAATCACAAAGATTCCTACAATACAACTGTCTTTGAAACGACTGGTTTCTTCATTAGCTTGCTTCTCTCTCCTCATCTCTTCTGATTAGCAGCTGATAAAAGGAAATCAAAAGCACCTGATACCCATTTTTCATGATGGAGAGATTTCATTTCTCTCTGAAGCATGAATAAAATTCAATTTTATAGTACTTTCTTCTCCATTTGGAAAACGAGGCTCTGAACACTGAGGCCTTTATCTAGCAAAGACCCCTTTCTGAAAATGTTTGCTTACGTTGTATCAAGTAAGCAATGGACTAATACATTTCTTTTGTAAGAGTCATCACTATATACACAGCATCAAAGGCATCTACCTTTAATTCCTTGGACCATATCAATTCTATTTCCATAACAAAAGATCATTTGTCATGATTAATACTTATGATGTGTAACTGGGTATGTTGCTATGAAAATATGGAAATAAAAAACCCATTTTAAAAGGAAAGGTTACAAGGATTCCTGTTTTGTTTTTAGTAAAAAATTCATGTAGGGAGTCTGCTCTGTAAGACATCAACAAACATTTACTTAGCAACTAATATGTGCAATGATGTGCATAATCAGACGCTGTGTTTTTCTTTTTTGTAAATGACCAAACCTCGTGAGATAGATATTGTCTTTGACTTTATGAAGCACACATCTGGTGGAAGAGATTGGCAATAACGTGTAAATTAACAAACTGAACAGTATTATGAAGGAAGTACACAAAGCTACACAGCGGAAAGTAATCAGGGGAGTCCTGCTTGACATAGGTGACTAAGGAAGATGTGGTTGTATGAAAAGAAATAAATCATATGAAAAGTTGCAGAAGCCACAAGCCAGAGGCAGGGTCAAGCAATCACAAAGTCCTTGAAACAGAAGGGGTTTGATAGGTTCCAGGACTTCTAAGGACACAGGTAAGGCTAGAACTGGGCAAGGGGCAGATCACTGTGGCAACTCTTAGACCTCAGAAAGGAGCATAGATTTATTCTAAGAGCAAGAGGAAAAAACTTATTTATATTTTCAAAAAATCATCATGCCTGCTGTGTGAAGAACGGATTAGGGATGGCCAAGAGTGGAAGTAGGGAGATAAGTTACGGAGTTACTGTGGTCTACCAGGGGAGAGATAATGGTGGCTTGGATTAGCAGTGGTAAGAGGTAGATTTAACGATATGATAAATTTTTGAGGTGGTATATATCCTATTACTCTGATTTGATCATTACACATTGTATATATGCATCAAAATATCACACATAGCCCATAAATATGTACTTATCAATTTAAAAAATTTAAAAATAAGACTAAGGAAATTGAATGATAAAATATGTAAGAATTACTGATTTAATATGGGGAATCAGCGTGAGGCAGACTGTAAAAATGACCACATTTTGCCATCCTTCCTTGTATCCAAGCCCTTGCAATGTGACTTCACAACCCCTCTCATCAAGAGGTGGAGCTGTTGTCCCCATGACTTGAATCTAGGCTTGGCTATGTGACTTGCTTTGACCAATTGAAGGAGGCAGAAGCACGCCAAAAGTTCTGAGGCTAGGCTTCAAGAAGGCTTGCAGCTTCCACCCTCACTTGGAACCCTGTCACTGGCATGAGAACAAGTCTTCTGCAATATGACAGACTACACAGAAAGTGGCCTCAGTTATCCTAGAAGTTCCAGCCATCCTAGAAGAGGGCAACCCAGACCAGCCAACCCCAAGCTGATCTCCAGCAGACCTCACACACATGAGCCAACCAGCTGGCAGCAACCTAGCTCAGCCTAGATGCACAATAATTCCCCAGACGACCTGGAGACCAATAAGTGACATAAATGCTTGTTCTAAATTGCTAAATTTTGAAGTTGTGTGTTACATAGCAATAATCTATTGTTACAGTGGGAAAGTAAAGAATCAAGTATGTTTACACTATGTAACTTATAAAAGTGCAATACCCTACTCAAGAAAGTTTGCATTTGTTTTTTTGATTAAGATTTATTATCATCAAAAAAGGCCATGCTACTCGAGCATATAGTATAATGTATTGTTTGAGGTTGGGTCTATATTAACAGCTATGACCATGAACTATATGATAAATTCCTATTCTTTAAGCTTCACATTAATAATGCCAAGTAAGAATGCAGGAGTGTATATAGAGTTTCACAGAGGAGTATTTTTTTCTTAATTCTTGGGGCCAATTAACATACAATTTTCCACTTCTTATGTTACCAAGAAGGACATTATACATACACACACAATCACTCATACTCATATCCCTCTCCTAATCCCATCATTGTATGAAATGTGATAGCCCATAAAGGGAAATCCTAATCAAAAAGCTAACAAAGAGCAAAATATATTTCTTATGTTTTGCCAAAGCCTACTGAAAACACAATCCCAAATAGGTGCTCATCTGTAGACTGTTGTATAAGAAAGAACACTGGAGGAAGACCAGAGAGACAAAGCAGAATACCAGAATATCTCTGATGGCATTTAAGCTCCAGAGCTCCTCATGGATCAAGCTGAGGCTAGACTTCACCTGAGCCCTTATTTTGTGCTTGGCTTCTCCTCCTGCCTATCCAGTTTCCCTCACTCTTTTACAGCTTTCTCCAGAGAGCATTCCCTCAATAAGTCATTTGCACAAAGAATCTCCATCTCAGGTCTGCATCCAAGGGCTCCTACCTAAGATGCCTTTTTGCAAAGTTTGATACTTAAGACTCCAATCAATTCTCCCCTTCCCATATCTTTCCAGAAAGTTTCATTTTGCTTAAGATAGTTAGCATCAGTTTTTACTTTGTTGGTAACCACTGAAAATTAGGAAATAATGTAACTGCCCAGTGAGTTCATTTTGCCCACTGCCCAGATATTAATACAACTGTGGATTTATCAAGACAGGGGAATTGCAATAAAGAAAAACTTTAATTCACCTTATTGCTACTTAAATTGGTCTCCCCCAGAATTTGGAGACTGGGGTTTCTTAAGGATGATTTGGTGGGTAGGGGGCCAGGGAGTGGAGAGTACTGATTGGTCGGGTCAGAGATGAAATTACAGGGCATCAAAACTGTCCTCTTCTGTTGAGTCCATTCCTGGGTGGGGCCATGAGACCAGATGAAGTAATTTACTGATTTGGGTGGTGCCAGGTGATCCATTGAGTGCAAGGTCTGAAAAATATCTTGAGCACCAGTCTTAGGTTTGACAATAGAGATGTTTTATCCCTAGGAGCAATTGGGGAGGTTTAGAATCTTGTGGTCTCTAGCTGCATGACTCCTAAACCATAATTTCTAATCTTGTCGTTAATTTGTTAGTCCTACAAAGGCAGTCTGGTTCATAGGCAAGAAGGGGTTTTGTTTCAGAAAAGCATTGTTATCATGTTTCTTTCAAAGTTAGACTATAAACTAAGTTCCTCCCAAAGTTAGGGCTGTGCCCAGGAATGAACAAGGACAGTTTGGAGGTTATAAGCAAGATGGAGTTGGTTAGGTCAGATTTCTTTCACTGTCACAATTTTCTCCCTGTTATAATTTTTGCAAAGGCAGTTTCAATAAGTTGTATAGAAAGGAACTCAACTACCTTTGTCTATCGGGAAATGTCTTTAAAAAGTTTCAAGAGGCAATATATCTCAGGAAATTAAATCTGTGAAAATAAAACATATGATTTTAAGGATTGCATCAGCTGACCAAATGTGATGTGTTAACGAAGATGTTTAAAAAGTAAATGTAATCTTTTCAATTACAGTTACATTAGCATGATTTCAATAGCCAAATGAAATACCCACACCCATTCAAGGCAATTATTATGTAATAAAACACTCTACTTATTATACTCAGGCAGTTAAATCCTACTGAAATAATCTTTCTGGCATAATACATGACTCCAGAAATATCCTGCATATGCAATCAGCTGCAGTAAAATCTTTGCAAGTGCCATTGCTTCAAGTTAACCTTTTTTTAGTGTCTTGAACCTCAAAAGTCAAATACACTTTGAAAACATCAAGTCTTTAAATTATTAAATGCTTTCACATTTCACCCAATGAATAAAACAGACTTAATTAATAGAGAGATCACAGCCTCACTCACATTAGCAACTCAAATAAATGCCTCATAGGGCTCCACTGGAGATATGCAAAGACACAGTCTTTGACCTGCCCTGCTGGCAGCTAGTTTTCAAAGGTCTGTAAAGTTTATGCCATGAAGATGACACAAACCATGATTCAGCCATGCATCTGACAGCCTGTGGGGAAGAGGTGTGAGCTGCCCTTAAATTAGGCATGCAGAGATGCAAAACACGGCAGTGTGTGTACACAACCCTCCTAACTAGACAGAGTTCAACTCATTTTATAGTTCAGTTCAGTTCCTAAAAAGTCTCCTGTAAATGAGTTCAAAGCAAGAATCCAAATCAAGGCTCTAATGAAAGGAACACTGAGATGAAATGCACCAAAAAGTGAGAAATCCTCTTTTAAAACCAATAACCACTATCCATCTTACTTGCTTTTCCATATGGCATCTGATTAAAGTAAGATGGCAACCCATTGCAGAAACCTGTCAACCCATTGCAGAAACAATTTGCCAAGAACCTGTTCTTCATGGCTCTTATATATGGATATGGTATTCTGTTTACTGTCTGCCTTCCCCATCACTGAAACATAGCTCCATGAAGATAGGGTTTTGTTTCATCACTGAGGGGCCACAGGGCCTGTGCTGGCCCACAGGAAGTGTTCAGTAAGTATTTGCTGGGTGAAGGGAGAAAAAAAGAGAATAAGTGAGGACTGAATTTGTGCTAATTAAATCCCAAACTCATACTAATAAAAACAGCAGCAATGCATTTGTGAAGACATTGAAAATGTTAGTTTTCAAAATACTAATATTAATATTCTATAAAATATGTGGAAGATAACCTTTTCCAGGTTTTATGTCTTGAGAAATCAGAGGAGCACAATCTAGTTGAGAAAGTAAAGCATTAGTTGAGCCAAAAATGTATCTACGTATCTGGTTCTCTGATGCATTGGGTGGAGCTGGCCTTCAGTGTAGCTCAGAGGGTAATTGGGACACATGCCCCAAATCCAGTAAATAGCAATGCAAACACTGGTGCATTCCCCTACAACTGCACTGTTTGATACAGTAGCCACACACCACCCCCAGCCTCCCATCCCGGCAGCTGCTGAGCACTTGAAAAGTGGCTAGTTTGTTGAAATATGAAATGCGTTGTAAAATACACACCAAATCTCAAAGTTCTGGGACAAAAAGTGAAATAACTCATTAACACTTTTTACGTTATCTACATGTTAAAATGGTATTTTGGATGTACTGGGTTAAGAAATATATTATTAAAATTAATTTCTCTTGTGTCTTTTTACATCGTAATTGGCTCCTGAAAAAATTAAAACAATGTATATAGCTCATGTTAGTGTCTCACATTAAACTTTTTTGGACAGTGCTGAACTAAGGCATGTCCTCTCTCTACACAGCAAAGGCCGGTTACTGCAAACATCTGTAACTTATTACCCAGAGGGCCTTTATCTCACTATGGGAACACACCTAGCCCTAGTGCAGGGAAAGTCCGTAGTGTCAAATAGTTCATGACTCTGGAAGCAGTTTTTAACTGATGGCAGAAAGAGAGCTACTGGTTACACCAGCTTTCTTGCCTTTCACTTGGGACAATTCAGGGGCATGTTCTACAATGTCTCCTAGAGTTCCCCAGCAGGATTGAGCACCAGTTGTCCATAATGGCAACTCATTTGAAAACATACTTTTCACCGAATTCTTTCCCTACCCTGTCTCATTTCTCCTCTCCTAGGTATTGCCTGGGGTTACTTCCTCAATAAACTATACTTGTGTTAGAATCCTTTCTCAGGGTCTACTTGTGGTACAACCCAAATTAAGACAATATGAAAAAAAAACTATTACATATATTCCACATCTTTTAATTCATTAAGGAGTTTTATTACAAGTCCTCATAAACCTAACAACTTCTTAAAGCTGAAGTGTAGTGATAGCCTTATGACTATCAGACCTATTTTCATGCTTATCCAAGATAGGTTGAAAATAAAATATGATGAATATAAAAAGAAAATATAAAAGTTAGATTTCATCAAATCAAATACAGACTTTAACCCCACTCTAGATATTTCATTGGTTTCCACTCAGTCCAGTCTTTAATAAGATTTTAAAGCTCTGTTCTCTTCTTCGATTTTGTTTGGGAAGCTCTGGATTTTTAAAAGAAATACCAGAGTTCAGAGGTTCTGAGATTCAGTGGAGGGTTTTGTCATATTTCAGCATGGACTTGAATCCTTAGGTCAAGTGCTTCAACATTTTCTCCCTCATAAAATGGCCTGACTTCAAGAACCAAGTACTGATGAATACACTAATGAAATGTTCCATATTCTAGGTCTTCCAAGAACATTTTTATGCACATGTATACTGATCTCCTTCATGCTGTTCTATTTTTAAACTTTTACTTGAATTCTCCTCCTCTTCTTTCAAAATACTTTGATAGTAGTAGAATCAGTTCCCTGGATAAAATGCATCCACTCTTTATTATCTCACACCACGTAACCTGTCATTACAGTGTTTTAGACGCCAAGCCTCACAGTGACAAGAACAATCAAATGTTGAATTCGGGCACAGACAAAAGTAAATATGGATGTTTGTTGCTCTTGGTATATAAATAACAGGATTCTTTGCAGAAGGAGTTTGCTTCAGAAGTTATGCTGCCCTTGGGAGCTACTTCATAGCCTTATTTGGATTGCAAGCTTTTTTATACTTTCCTACAATAGCAAATGTATGCGATACTTTCTGGGGCAACAAAGAATTGTGTGCATGCCTGCTTTTGCTCTTGAGGCAGCCTTAGCAGGGAATAATAGTGTTGCTAAGTCATTTATCTGAAAATGTGAGGTACGGATGTCCTTTCTAGCCTTATGCTTTGTGGTGAACTCATCATACTATTAACAGAAGTATAGAATCCAGCATTTTACCTCCCCAACACATGTGGCCAAAACATTAGCATAGAAGGGAGTGGCATCGAACACATGAATGTTTTCTCATGTACTGAACACCAACAGATCTCCCCACATGCCAAGCCCGTGCAACAACAGTGATGTCTCCTTCCTATCCATGCCTACCATGGGCTAGCTCAATTCCCATCTTCTATCTCAGCGAGTACCTGGAAGGGAGTACTTTGCATAGTGGTATGCTGAAGCCAGCTCGCATAGAACAGTGATAGCTGATTGCAGCCTCTTGTTTCAGCCCCACTACCATGACTTTGTGACATTGCATTGGTAGCTTGAAATTGGCCATGGTATTTAGATTTTGAAAACTTGCCAAGGCTAAAATTCAAGGCTTTCCCCCTTGGAGTCTAGGTTGTTAAATATTTATCAGTTCACCACTAAATGTGTGGGAACTAAAATGAACATAGCAGCTTATAGAAATAAAATGTGTTCTATTTATGTCCTTGCCCCAGTAAGGACAAGAAATGCCTCTGTGACATCCACAGGCTCCCTTCTTTATAAATTGTCTACTTTGTCTTCTGCCTGGAGGCCATGTCTAAGGAAAAGAAAGGCAGCAAAGTTTTTACCAACAAAACAGGCTCTGGGGCTCAGGTTTCAGAGCCCACTGAGTGTAGTTCCAGGTCTGCTCTCCAAAGGGGACAGAACCCCTTGTGACTCCAGCCACAACACAGTCCCTGGAGGAATTATGCACTAATGTAATATTTGCTTGGCTCCTAGGAACTCTTACTGAGAAAGCAAGCAAGCATTCAATATGAGAACACAATCAAATAAGGAAGATTTCACTTAACACTACGTCCTACAAGATAACAAATCCAGGAAAAGTATTAATTGAAAGGGTAGCAAGTTATATAAGATGATGCAGAATGTAGCTGGGCTTTTTAATTTTACTATCTCTTTTCACTGCTAAACATCTGATAACACCATGTTTTAATAAAATTACTTTGTAGCATATTTACATTTGTCAGAACCTGTTTCTTATCATATCCTATAGATAAGTGTTCCTCTGTTTGCATTATGGGAAACTTCTATTTGGCAAGGTGAACAGATGATCACGATCATCTTTTGAGAAGTATTCAGCTAATGTCTGCTTGTTGCCTCACACCTATGGGAAATCTAAAATTGTGATATTTCACAGAATTTAAGGGAGAGATTGTTAAAACACAGATTCCTGGCCACACCCCAGTGATTCAGAGTCAGTAGGTGAGGAGCCCATGAATTTGCATCTCTATCAAGCTCCCAGATGAAGGAAAGGGATCCTCACTTTGAGTAGCCCTGCCCTGAACAAAGTTACATCTTGAGTAGTTGGTGATGCCTGTGGTACAAGGTCGAAAAAGGAGGCTCTCCTGGTCCCATGCATGGGGCTTTTTTGAAACCCACAACGTTTACCCAAACCCAGCTACGAAATGACTCCCTGGAGGCAGGAAGAGAATGTTGCCTGGTCTCAGGAATGTTGGGTCATGGGGAACAAGTCCCTATAAGACACCAGCAGACTATTTTAAACTCTGTGTCTAGGGTTACATTCAAGTCGTAACATATACCAACCATCTCATTCTCTATTCAATATCCGCCTGTCAGCCATTTAGTCAAATAAAACCTTTTAGGAAAGAATACAGCTTTGAGCTGCAAAAAGCTGCTATCCTACTGGGAGGGGTCACCCTACGCTAATGTTTTCCAGGGCTTATATTGAAAGTGTGTAAATATTTGTAATTAAATTGAACCATGTAGCTGTCCTTCCCATGTGATGTTATTGGGTAGCTGTGACCACCAGAGTGTTATAGCAACATGAGACATATTTACTGAAAATCATAATGGCTTTCAATAACTGAAGTACTACTTTGTTTTGTGGGGGATGTCAAAAATTAGAGCCAAAAACAGAGACAGAAACTTAAAAAGCTCATTCCAGACTTTTAGGACAATGACAAAATAGTGAAAAAATCTTGAAACTTTATAATTTAGTTCTCCATGCTATTCATCAAGAGTTCCAGTATTGAGGGCTAAATGATCTACTTGATCAACAATTCATTCTGGTTAACAGCCAAAAAATGGCTCTTGTTTTCAATTCTTAGCAAAACTGTCTGATACAAATCTTCCGTTCTCCCATTTGGATAGGGACTCATAAAAGGTGTGAAGTGTCAACATTAATTCTACAAATCTACTGGGCTGCTCCTGACAGAATGGTCAGAAAAGATCCCAGAAGTTCTCAACAGAGAATTTCAAGTTTTTGATGGTTGAGAAAAAAAAAAAAAAATGTATATTTGAGTTTAGCTTCTTTTTGAAGTTCATCATCTATATCAATTCATCTGACATTTATCTTTTTTCTTTTCTTTTCTTTTTTTTTTTTTTTTTAGACAGAGTATTACTTTGTCACTCAGGCTGGAGTGCCGTGGTACGATCTCGGCTCACTGCAATCTCCACCTTCCAGGTTGCAGTGATTCTCGTGCCTCAGCCTCCTGAGTAGCTGGAACTACAGGCATGCATCACCATGCTCAGCTAATTTTTTTGTATTTTTAGTAGAGACAAGGTTTCACTATGTTGGCCAAACTGGTCTCAAACTCCTGACCTCAAGTGTTCTGCCTGCTTCAGCCTCCCAAAGTGAAACATTGATACTCTTATCACAAAATTACAGGGCCTGTTCTAAGAAGGCAGTACATTCATTTAACACTACAGAATATGCTAAGTAGTTTTCCTTAGAGCATAAGCATATAAAGTATCACTAGTGTCATTTCAGAGTAGACAAATATGTTTGACTCTAATACCACAGGCTAACCTAACGCAACAGAAGTTTAAAAGGAGAAAGTTATCTTTAGCTTTGCTTTTCCTGATCCCACTGTTTTTCAAAGAAAAATAAATATCATCTTCCAGGCCTGATGCTGTATTAACTGAATGTGCAATCCAAACACACAGAAGGACATCTCTGCTTCTGGGTGGGCTCTTTCCTGTGTTACAGGCCCGTTTAGAATCAGGTGGTGATTATTAAGAATCCCTGCCCTTGAAATATCTGTACACAAAAAACTGTAGAACACTGATGAAATTAAAGAATATCTAAATAAATGGAAGGATATTCGGTGTTCATGGATTGAAATAATTCATATTGGTAAAATGTTCATTCTACCCTGCACAATCTATAGATTCAAAATTTTGCATCAAAATTCTATCAAAATTCCAATGGCAATTTTTAACATCAGAAGTAGAAAAAGCAGTGTTAAAATTCATATGAAACCACAAAGACCCTGAATAGCCAAACCGATTTTGAGCAAGAACAAGAAGGCTGGAGGCACCATACTTCCCAATTTAAAATTATATTACAAAGCTATAGTAATCAAAACAGCATGGCACTGGCATAAAAATAGACACATAAGTGGGTAACTATGTGAGATGAAGTATATATTAATTTGCTTCACTATTGTAATCATTTTATCATCTATACATCTCTTGTAACATGTTGCATATTTTAAATACACACAAGAATTTTTTTTTAAAATGGATTGGAAGTCATACTCCACCTCCTTAAGGGTAGAGTAGCCATATAAAAAATTGTTGAGAATTCTTCTTCACAGGAAAATAAAATAAACATAGACCAATTGAACAGAATAAAAAACCAAGACATAAACCCCACACATATACAGTCAAATAATTGTTGACAAGGGCAGCAAGAATACAAAAAGGGGAATGAACAGCCTCTTCAATAAACAGTGATGGGAAAACTGAATATTCACATGTAAAATAATAAAATTGGGCCCTTCTCTTACACCACACACAAAAATCAACTTAAAATGGATTAAAGACTTAAATGTAACACTTGAAGATGTAAAACTCCTAGAAGAACACAGAGAAAAAATTCTTTGACATTGGTCTTGGCAGTAAATTTTTGGATATAGCACCCAAAGCATAGGAAACAGAAGCAAAAATAAACAAATGGGACTACATCAAATTAAAATGCTTCTGCATAGCAAAGGAAACAATTAACAAAATGAAAAGACAACCTATGGAATAGTAGAACATATTTGCAAATCTTGTATCTGATAAGGTGTTAATATCCAAAATCTATAACAAACTCATACAACTCAATAGCAAATAAAATAAAACAAATACCTAATTTAAATGGGCACAGGAAGGATCTGAACAGATATATCTCCACAGAAGACAAACAAATGGCCAACTATATTAAAAGGCACCTGACATCTCTAATCATCAGAGAAAAGCAAATCAAAATCACAATGAGATATCACCTCATGACTGTTAGAATGGTTATTATCAAAAAGACAACAAATAATAAGTGTTGGTAAAGATATGGAGAAAATGGGACTCTGGTACACTATTTATGGGAAGGTAAATTAGTACATCCATTATGGAAAACAGTATGGAAAGTTCTCAAGAAATTAAAAATAGAATTATGTGGTCCAGTAATCCCACTTCTAGGTATTTATCCCAAGAAATTCAAATCAGGATGTTGAAGAGACACTTGTGCTCCCTTGTTCACTGTGGCATTACACATAATAGCCAAGAAACGGAAACAACTTAAATGCCCATGAACAGGAAAATGGATTTTAAACTGTGGTGTATATGCATAATGAAATATTTTCAGCCTTAAAAAAAGAAACAAATCCTGCTATTTGCAACAACATGGATGAATCTAGAGGACATTATGCTAAGTGAAATAAGCCAGAGACAGAAATACAAATACTGTATGATCTCACCTATACGTGAAATCTAAAATAGGCATAATCATGGAAGCAGAAGGTAGAATGCTGATTGCCTGGGGCTGAGGGGAAGGGGAAATGGGGAAGCAATGGTTAGAGGGTTCAAAGTTTTACTTATACAAGATAAATAGGTTCTGTAGATCTACTATATAGCATAGTACCTATAGTTAACAATACTATATTGTACCAAGACGGTAGAACTCAGTGTTCTTATCACACATACACACATGCACACACATGAAATTATAATAAGAGGGGCA